>NC_000006.12:91549199-91700138 GCF_000001405.40 Homo sapiens
CTTTTTATGTTTTCTCATATATCTTTGCTTTTTAATGTTTGAATTATCATCTCTGGTAGAACATTAATTTAAAAAAGGAAAACACTGTAAAGGTCAAAGCACTTCATTTTCCTGAGAAATTTCTGGAGAAATATTTGTCTGGGGAGATGACTCCCAGAGAATATTGTCCCCTGGAAGGATTTGTGGATACAATTTATCCATGCTAACTTTGTCTACTTTAAAAATAGGTAATCAAAAGTTGTTTGTATCCCTTTCTTGTTGTGGATATTCAGTAAGAATAAAAGGAAACAGTAGCCAACACTCCCCTGTGATTAAGCCATCTCATTGAGAAAAGTCTGGGTATACTTTATTGTAAGTACACCTTTCTTCACTGCACAATGAGTTTTTGATTTACTCCCCTGGGAAATTGTAGCTTTAGCAATTGCTCTTGCAGATTCTGTAGACTTGTACCATAACAATTTGGCTCTTCACATTCTTTACCTTTGAAGATGTGGCATTTAGCCCAATCTAAGACTTCTGGTGAATATGACGAAAATGGCAGAATCCCTAATCTTGGATACAACACAAGCTGATTGCTGCTAAGTTTTCTAAGACACACTGACATGCTCTGAAAAGTATCTTGGAAAGGCAGATGTGTGTATATTTTCCTTACATTCTAATTGCAGAGTTATATGTTAATGTATTTCCAATTTTAGTTTAGTACCAGTAGTTACATTAAAAATTATGAGTATTCATATTCTCACTGCTGAAGGGCCAAAAAAGAGCTCTTGTCTCTTTGCTGAATGACTTTTAAATGAGGGTACATAACTGTAAATTAGCTGCTCACAAGAAGGTGTTTCCAATTTCCAACTCATTCTTGAAGGACCATTATGCCTATAGCATAGTACATTCTAAGTGAAATTTGACATGTGAAGAATAAATGACTATCTGCTTGTCAGATGGCATGTTTCTTTACATTTACTTTTTCCTTTCATGGTTTTCCGATAGTTTGGAGGTATTTTTTTAAGAGTATCTTCTTCTGAGGAATTAGAATTGTATTTTACTCTTTTAATTTGCTTATAGCTATACAGAGAAACCCTTAGTGCACCCAGATTTGTGCATCTGAGGAGAAGGATATGTCCTTTTTGTATATAGACTTCTTGTCAGAAGGTTTTCTCCTTGTTGGAAGGTTTTTAGAGTACAGAAAGGTGGTTAGAATTAGGTACCTCTACGTTTTTTTCAATTTTTAAAAAATAAAATAGGATAGTAGTATGAGAAATTTACATTTTTGAAGGGCTAGAATAATGATAACATCTCTAATTACACACACTTCTTCCCCACCAGCTCTTTTGTTAGTCTTCTATTTGCAGGGTTCCTCCAAGGTGCATTTTAAAGTAGTGATGAGTGTGCAAAACCCAGATTACAGAATGCTAGGGAGTGGATTGAGTATGAAAAAGTGGAGGCAGAGAGTATACACAAGTCTTTCAAGGGGCCTATCAGTAGAGGATTATGAAGCTAGAGAATAAATGAGGCAGGCTTGATGTTTATTTATGGGATTCATAGGTCCTTTTATCTATGACTTCACCATCTTTACTTGTGGCTAAAATGTTTCTAATACCTTATGAGAAGTTAAGCTACTTCTTCCTTTTCAAATATGGAATAGATTTGACCACATTTCTCTAGGAAGACAGCAGATAAGAGAAAGTTGATTATAATACAGGAGAGAGAAAATGATTAATAGAACAAAATACTTTTGAAGGCAGAAAGTGATGGATGGCCCAAGTTGGGGGAAAGACTTCTAATATAACAAGAAGAAAAATAGGCATGGGGGAGTGGGCACTAGATTCTTTAAAGTGGTAAGTTGTTTAAGGAAGTTAGGAACATGGTATCTGGTAAGTTTTTGTTTTCTCAGCTGAGTAGTAAGCAAGATAATCTGCTGAGAGTGAGGTAAGGAAGTGGTCTTCAGAGATTTGAGACTATTGCAAAAGGTTTGAAATAGTTGTTCTGATCAATGAGAAAGTGAGCTCATAAGAAACCAAAGATTATCAGGATGTTTAAAAAATTTATGTGTCGTAAACACTATGCGATCTGTACTAGTCTGTCCTCATGCTGCTATAAATAACTGCCTGAGACTGGGTAATTTATAAAGAAAATAGGTTTAATTGACTCACAGTTCTGCACAGCTGGGGAGGCCTCAGGAAACTTACAATCATGGCAGAAGTCACCTCTTCACAGGGTGGCAGGACGGAGTGAATGCAAGCAGGGGAAATGCCAGATGCTCGTAAAACCATCAGATCTTGTGATTGTCATGAGAACAGAATGGGGTAAACTACCCCCATGATTCATTTACCTCCACCTGGTCCCACCCTTGACATGTGGTAATTATAGGGATTACAATTTAAGGAGAGATTTGGGTGAGGACACAGAACCAAACTATATAATTCCATCCCGGATCCCTCCCAAATTTCATGTCTTCACATTTCAAAACACAATCACGCCCTTTCAAAAGTCTCCCAAAGTCTTAACCCATTCCTGTGTTAACCCAAAAGTCCAGGTCCAAAGTCTCATCTAAGACAAGGCGAGTCCCTTCTGCCTGTGAGCCTGTAAAATCAGAAGCAAGTCAGTTACTTCCTATATACAATGGGGGTACAGGTATTGGGTAAATATACTTATTCCAAATGGGAGAAATTGGCCAAAAAAAGGGGCTACAGGCCCCACACAAGTCCAAATCCAATAGGGCAGTCATTAAACTCTAAAATTCCAAAATGATCTCTTTGACTCCAAGTCTCACATCTAGGTTATGCTGATACAAGAGGTATGCTCCCATGGCCTTGGACAGCTCTGCCCCTGTGGCTTTGCCGTGTACAGCCCCCTTCCCAGCTGCTTTCATGGACTGGCATTGAGTGTGTGCATTTTTTCCAGGCACATGGTACAAGCTGTTGGTGGATCTACCATTCTGGGGTCTGGAGAATGGTGGCTCTTCTCTTATAGCTCCACTAGGCAGTACCCCAGTGGGTACTCTGTCTGAGGGCTCCAACCCCACATTTCCCTTTCACACTGTCCTGGAAGATGTTTTCCACCAGGTCTCTGCCCCTGCAGCAAACTTCTGTCTGGACATCCAGGTGTTTCCATACATCCTCCGAAATCTAAGCAGAGGTTCCTCAACTTCAATTTTGACTTCTGTGCACCTGAGGCCCAATACCACATGTAAGGCACCAAGGCTTGAGGCTTGCACCCTCTGAAGCAATGTCCCAAGCCATATCTTGGCCTCTTTTAGCCACAGCTAGTGCTGAAGCAGCTGGGAAGCAGGGTACCATGTCCAGAGGCTGCATAGAGCAGGAGGTCTCTGGGCCCAGCCCAATAAACCATTTTTCCCTCCTAGGCTTCCAGACCTATCATGGGCTTCCAGGAAGTTCTCTAACATGTCTTGGATACAGTTTCTGCAGCGGGCTTGAATTTCTCCTCAGGAAATAAATTTTTGTTTTCTATGCAATGTCAGGCTGCAAATTTTTTCAAAGTTTTATGCTCTGCTTCCTCATGAATGCTCTGTCTCTTAGAATTTTTTTTCTGACTGATACCCTAAAACATCTCTCTCAAGTTCAAAGTTCTACAGTTCTCCAGGGGAAGGACAAAGTGCCACCAGTCTCTTTGCTAAAGCATAGCAACAGTGACCTTTACTCCAGTTCCCAACAAGTTCCTCATCTCCATCTGAGACCACCTCAGCCTGGACTTCATTGTCCATATCACTATGAGCATTTTGGTCAAAGCCATTCAACAGGTCTCTAGGCAGTTCCAATCTTTCCCACATCTTCCTGTCTTAGGAGCCCTCCAAGTCTCTAGGAATTTCCAAACTTTGCCACATTTTCCTGTGTTCTTCTGAGCCCTCTAATCTGTTCCAACTTCTTCATGTTACCCAGTTGCAAAGTTGCATCCACATTTTTCGATAAGTTTACAGCAGTGCCCTGCTACATCAGTACCAATTTGCTGTACTAGTCCTTCCTCATGCAACTATTAACATAAAGAACTGCTTGAGACTGGATAATTTATAAAGAACAGAGGTTTAATTGACTTACAGTTCTGCCTGGCTGGGGAGGCCTCAGGAAACTTACAATCCTGGCAGAAGGCACCTCTTCACAGGGTGGCAGGAGAAAGAATGAGTGCAAGCAGGGGAAACGCCAGATGCTTATAAATTCATCAGATCTCCTGAGACTCACTCATTATAACAAGAACAACATGGGGTAAACTGCCCCCATGATTCAATTACCTCTACCTGGTCCTGCCCTTGACACATGGGGATTATGGGGATTACAATTTAAGGTGAGATTTGTGTGGGGATTCAGAGCCAAACCATATCATGGTCTATTGAAGTTTGATTAAAAATTTCTGTTTTTGATGCTCAAAATCTTAGTATTGAACCAATGACTTCCAAACATGCCTATAATATTTAAGTGTGCAGCTTCCTGTACCTACCTCAGGCCCAGTGTATAAGATCCTGGAAATCTGTATTTATTATTCCCATAGTGACTATATTATTAGGAAAGTCTTAGAAACACTAGGTAAACCAGACATTCAAAGAGCTTGGTATTCAGATTATGACAATTCAACCTTTGATACAAAATATTTAGGCATCATGCTATCAGCCCATAGCAATAGACATTATAATACAAACTTTCAGGAAAAAAATTTATGTGTGTCTATGTATATATTATTGAATATATTTTTAAGTTGTCATGTCAATTATATTACCTTAAAAATTCAAAAATTAAGTGCATAAGACAACGCTTATTTTATTATATTTACTGATCCTCTGGGTCAAAAATTTAAATATTGCACAATGATACTTCTCTCCTTTTCATAATATCTTGTACTACAACTGTGAAGACCTAAATAATTGGAGTGATTCAAAAAGCTGAGAGCTAGAAAGATCTGGAGACTTCTTTTCACATATTTGTGTTGCCTGGTTTTATGTGACTTAAAGAATGAGCTCAGCTGGAGTTATTGGCCAGAATGCCCCATGTGAAAAATTTGCCATGTGGCTTGGTGTTCCTCATAGCATGGTTGTCTCAGGGTAGTCATGTTTCATATGATGGCTCAGGGCTCCAAGAGGGAGCATTCCAGTGAATAAAGTGTAGTTTTCGTGTGCTTTCCTAATATAGCTTTAAGAATCATGCGTGACTATCTCTGTCACATGCTATTAGATGTAGTAATTTACTAAGACCAGGCCATACTCAATGTTAGGAGAATTAGACCTGACCTCTTACCTGAGGTAAGAGGTCAGGTCTATTTCTGTCAGAAATAGAAATGTTTTTTATTCTGTCAAGTGATTCAAGTTTTATTCATGAATTATATAACTGCTAAATACCTACTTTTGCAAAAACTATTCAGCATATTTCTTGTAAGTACATAGAAATTCATAGAATATATTTTGTGTACAATATTTTGTAAGAGAACCAACATATTTTTGAAACACGGGAGGCATAGGAAAGTATATGAATATATAAATAGATTTGCACATAAACGAAGGAGGAGTAGGAGGCTTGGTGAAAAGATAATACATTAGAGGTGACCTACCAAGCAAGATGTCATTTGGAATTGCCCAGGAGAAAGGTTTGACCTGTGTTAGAATTCATGAGAAACTGAGCATGCAGAAGTAAGTAAAGGTACTCAATGAAAAGGGGGAGGTCAAAGAATACTTGGAAGGGGGATGTGTGCTATTATGTAAAGACAGGCAAATGAAGAAATTGCCCTGTGGGTTTTTAAAGTGGGAGAAACCACTGAGGTAGAATATGTAAAGTTAGGAATAAGAACATAGGTTTTAAGATACAAAGAAGTTTCAAGAAGAGGTTATCAGTTTTGTCAAACGCTGAAGTGAGATCAGGATGAGGATTCAAAATAATCAATTTTATTTTTTTAATTAGGAAAACTACTTCTGATTAATACTGAGTAACAAAGAACAAATAGCCCTCTCAGCTGAAGCAAACAAAATATATGAACAAAATTAGATAAAACAATGGTCTTGAAGACACTGAACATCAGGCAATTAAGGGCAGTGATCTAAGAGAGACAGAAAAAAAGTTAGTTCAACAGTTGGCCTATTTTGAGAAGATTTTTCAGGCTGTGGCATAGAGAAGAGGAATCAAGAAGAGACTGGTGAACTCCTTGAGTTGAGGAGATGGAGTAAGAGTCATGGAAGACCAAGAGGGCTAGGTCACAGGAGAGAATATAAGAGAGGAAATGTTGCACAGATAAGTAATTCTGGAGATCTACAAAATGTCATCTTAAAGTATTCAGCAGAGTACAGATCAGAATATGAGAAAACTGCCTGAGGCCAGGTAGTAAATTCTAAAATAATTAGATAACAATAGTAAAAAATCTCAGTGAAAAGAGGTTTGGGAACAGTGCCTGTTCTCACTAGCCAGATTATAAAATCTCATAATTCATGGGGAATTGGTTAGACTCAATGTGATCTGACTCTAGTAACTGGGATGAATTAGCCCTGGAGTAAACAATGCTTATCTTATGTTGGTTCTAAGAAATCTAAAATCAGAAGGCCCAAAGATGTCAAACAATTTTCAAGTAACTAAACTCTTTCCCAGAACAAAGGTCAAACATATTTATAGTAATATAAAAATATCTAGCACTGAACAAAAGAGAATTTACAATCGTTGACATCTAATAAAAATTACCAGGTATGCAAAGAAACAGGAAAGTATAAGCCATAGTGAAGAGAAAAATTGATCAATCAAAACTAACCGAGAACTGACTCACACCTTTGAATTAATAGACAAGGATATGCAGCAGTTATTGTAATTTTATTCCACTTGTTTAAAAAGTTTAGCAGAGACATGTAAGATACAAAGTAATCTTGATTTAAAATCATTGAATCTATAATCAATGATTTTAGAATACTCTAACCAAATTAAACTTATAAATATGAGAATTATAATATGGGCATGAAACATATACCTGATGAGATTAACAGTAGATTAAACATTGCAAAAGAAAAGATTAGTAAATTTAAAGATGTAGTAATAGAAACTATCCAAAATGAAACATGGACAATATAAAGGAAAAATTATAAATTAAAGATCTATACTACAAATCCTAAGTCAGTCAGTAAAATTAAAAAAAGAAATATTGTTAATAAACAATGGAGATAAAATGAAATTATACACACACACACACACAAATTCAATCCAAATGAAAGTAGAAAAAGAGGAAAAAAGAGAAGACAAAAATGTAAAAATAGCAAGATGAGTGACAATCTTAAAATATCAACAATAACATTAAGTGTAAAATGGTCTAAATGTCCAAGTTAAAAGGCAGAAATTGGCTGAGCATGCTGGCCCATGCCTATAATCCCAGCATTTTGGGAGGCAAAGAAAGGAAGATCGCTTGAGCCCAAGAGTTAGAGACCAGCTGGGAAACATAGTGGGACATCATCTCTACAAAAGAGAAAAAAATATTAGCCAGGTGTGATAAGGCATTCCTGTAGTCCCAGTTACTTGGGAGACTTAGGTGGGAGGACTGCTTGAGCCTGGTGGGAGGTTGAAGGTGGAATATGTCACGATCGTACCACTTGAGCTCCATCGTGGGTAACAGAGTGACACTCTGTCTCAAAAATAATAATAAAATAATAAAAAGTAAATAAATAATGAAAAGACAAAAATTGTTAGCTGGATTTAAAAACAAAACCTGATCATATGTCGCTAATAAGAAACTCATTTTAAATATAAAGACATAAATAAGTTGAAAGTAAAAGGATGTAAACAGTTATACTATGATTACATTAATCCAAAGAAAGCCGGAGTCACTGTATTAGTGTTTTATCCCCAAAGTAGATGCTAGAGAAAATAATATCACTCAGGATATAGAACATCATTTCATAATTGTAAAAGCATCAGTTTATGAAGATGGCATAACAATCCTAAATGTTTCTGCAACTAATAGTATAGTTTTAAAATATATAAAGAGAAAATTGGTAGAACTATAAGGAGAAATAGATAATTCCATAATTATAGTAAAAGTTTTAATATTCTCTTCTCAATAATTAATAGTAGAGTAAAAAGAAAATCATGGCGGATATAGAACACATGAACAACACTATCACTAAAATTGACATAATCAATGATTTTAGAATACTCTAACCCAAAATGACAAGATTTATGTTGTGTAGAAGTGCACATGGAATATTTACTAACATTGACCATAAAACAAGCCTCAGTAAATTTAAAAGGATTTAAGTTATACAGAGTATGTTGTCTCACTAAAATGGAGCTAAATGGGAAATTGATAACAGAAAGATATTTGGCAAATCCCAACATATATGGAAAGAAAACAATATACTTTTAAATCACCTGTGGATCAAATAATAAGTCAAAAGTGAAATCCAAAAGATTCCGAAGTGAATGAAAATGAAGTTACAACATATCAGAATTTATTGGAAACTAAAGCAGTACATAGAGAAAAATTTTTGACACTAAATTCTGTATTAGGAAATAACAAAGGCCCAAATGACATCCACTTCCATCTTAAAAAAATTAGGATGAAAAAATAGACAAAGGGAAAAAATAAAGATCTGAATAAAAGTAAATAAAGTAGAAACAGAAAAAAAAAGCACAGAGAAGAATAAATAAAATCAAAACCTGGATCTTCGAGAAAGTTAATTTATTTAATAACATATATCTACATTTATCAGGAAAAAATAAAGCAGATTATCAAACAATGAGAATGATGGGATTATGACAAAATCTATAGATATTGAAAAGTCAATAGAGAAATGTTATGGACAATTTTATACTACTAATAAAATGTAGATAAAATGGGCAAAATTTTTTAAAGCAATACTAACAAAGTTTTTTCAACACGAAATAGAGATAACCTGAATAGTCCTTTTTCTATTAAAGACATTGAATTTAAAGACCTTCCAATTAAAAAAAAAACAATAAGAAAACAGAACAAAACAAACAAATAACAACAAAGAAAGCCTCCCGACCTATATGGCTTCACTGGGGTATTTTACCAAAAACTTAAGGAGAAATAATATCAATTCTATACAAAATTTTATAGAAATTGAAAAACAACATCACTTGTCATTAGGGAAGTCATCAATTACAAAAATTAGATACCAATACACACAAAATAGAATGGGTCAGAAATACTGACCATACCAAATATTAGCAATAATGTAGACAAAGCAGAACACTCTTATTCTTTTGATTTTTATGCAAAATGGCAGGAGCACTTTGGAAAACAGTTTTACAATGTTACTTATATGTTACACATACGCCTACTATATGATTCAGACACTCCACTCCTAGGTATTTACTCAAAAAAAATGTAAGCATATGTCTATACAAAGACTTATACAAAAATGTGCAGAATGGCTATATTTGCATTAACCCAAGACTGAAAACAATCAAATGTCCTTAAACAGGTGAACATATAAAGAAACTGTGGTATATCCATGCAGAAGAACATTACTCAACAATGTAAATGAATGAACTGCTAATACAACAACATAATCATACTAGTTTTAAAAAGATAAGCATAATGTATACTGTATGACTTGACATAGATGTAGTTCTTGAAAATGAAAACTAAGCAATGGTGTCAGAAAGCAGATCAGTTTTTACCTGGGCATCGAGAATGACACAATGAGAGGCAAGGGTGAAGGATTACAAAGGGGCTTGAGGAAACTTCTGGATGATGAATACACTCATTGTTTTGGTTGTGATGAAGTTTAACATGTGTATACACTGGTTGCTGTTATCTTCAATGTACAGGGTCAACATCTTGTTCAGGTCTACTGTATTGTGGGGAGGGTCATGGATGGCCTCTTTTTCTCATCTGTAATGATGAAACAACTATAAATTTCTCTAATGGCAAATGATTTAGTAACTAATAGTAAATTTTTATCTGTTCTAAACAATAGAAATTTTGAAAAAATCATATTATGAATTCTATTTTGCACTGATAATGTTTTGACATTAAGAAATAATGGAGCTATAAAATTATAACTGATAAATTCATATTAAAATGAAGCAATTTGAATATCTAAAATGGCTTTATGTTTGAAAACATGTTAAATTAGCAACTCTGAAGTCCAAGTTGCCCAATAAGAAGAATTCTTTACTAACTATTCATTTTTTTTTCCAAGATGGCAGCTTCTTTGAAATAGCAAGATCAACCCTGTGAGATTTAATTTAAGAGGCAAAATGGGAAACCACTGGAATCATGAAGGACACCTCAGATCAACTTTAATGATTACAATTCAACATGGGATTTGGGTGGGGAAAAAGATCCAAACTAGATCATTCCTCCCCTTACCCCTTCCAAATATTATGTTCTTCTCACATTTCAGAATACAATCATGAATTCCCAAGAGTCCTTCAAAGTCTTAACTCATTCCAGCATTAACTCAAAGGTTCAAAGTCCCGAGTCTCATCTGAGGCAAGGCTAGTCCCTTCTGCCCATGAGCCTGTAAAATAAAAACAAACAAAAAACCAAATTAGTTACTTCCGAGAAACAATGGGAGTATAGGCATTGAGTTAATACTCTCATACCAAAAGAGAGAAATCAGCCAAAAGAAAGAGGCTACAGGCCCCATGCAAGTCTGAATCCAGCAGGACAGTTATGAAGTCTTTTTTATTTATTTATTTTTTTTTTTTGAGGCAGAGTCTCACACTGTCTTCCAGGCTGCAGTGCAGTGGTGCAATCTCGGGTCACTGCAACCTCTGGCTCCCAGGTTCAAGTGATTCTCCTGCCTCAGCCTCCTGACTAGCTGGGATTACAGGCATGCACCACCATGCCTGGTTAATTTTTTGTAGTTTTAGTAAAGACAGGATTTCATTATGTTGGCCAGGCTGGTCTCAAACTCCTGACCTCATGATGGGCCCACCTCAGCCTCCCAAAGTGCTGGGACCTTAAAGAGTCAAAATAATCTTTGACTCCATGCAAAGGGTGAGCTTCCAGAGCCTTGGGCAGCTCAGCCCCTGTTGACTTTGCAGGGTTTAGCCCCTACAGTTGCTCTCATGGGCTGGCATTCAGTGCCAATGGCTCTGTCAGGCTGAGGATCTAAGCTGCTGGTGGATATACCATTCTGGGGTCTGAAGGACAGTGGCCCTTTTCTCACAGCTTCGCTAGGCAGTGCCTTAGTGGGGATTCTGTGTGGAAGCTCCAACCCCACATTTCCCTTCCACGTTGCCATAGTAGAGGTTCTCCTTAAGGGCTCCATCCCTGCATTAGGTTTTTGCCTAGATATCCAAGATTTTTCATACAAGCTCTGAAATCTAGGTGGAGGCTCTCAAGCCTCAACTCTTGCACTCCGTGCACCCACAGGTTTAACACCACCTGGAAGCTGCCAAGGCTTACAGTTTGCACCCTCTGAAGCAGTAGCTCAAGCTGTACCTGGGCCCGATCGAGCCACAGGTGGGAGTGGAGTGGTTGAGTCTCAAGGAGCAGTGTCCCCAGGCCCCACAGGGTAGTGGGACCCTGGGCCTGGCCCACAGAATTATTCTTTCCTCCAAGGCCTCTGGGCCTGTGATAGGAGGGGCTGCTGTGAAGATCTCAGAAATGCCTTGGAGGCCTTTTTTTTTTTTCATTGTCTTGGCTATTGGCACTTGGCTCCTTTAGGCTTGTGCAAATCTCTACAGATGTTTAAATTCCTCTCCAGAAAATTAGATTTTCTTTTTTACTGCATAGCCAGGCTGCAAATTTTCCAAACTTTTGTACACTCTTCTTCCCTTTTAAATATATGTTCTACTTTCAGATAATTTCTTTGCTCATGCATAGAAGCATAGGTTGTTAGAAGCAGCCAGGACACTTCTCGAATACTTTGCTGCTTAGAAATTTCTTCTGTCAGATATCCTAAATTATCATTCTCAAGTTCAAAATTCCACAGACTCCTAGGGCACAATGCCACAGAATTCTTTGCTAACACATAACAAAAGTGACCTTTGCTCTAATTCCCAGTAAGTCTGTAATTTCCATCTGAGGCTTCCTCAGTCTGGACTTCGTTGTCCATATCACTATCAGCATTTTGGTCACAACAATTTAACAACTCTCCAGGAAGTTTCAAATTTTCCCTCGTTTTCCTGTCTTCTTCTAAGTCTTCCACACTGTTCCAACCTCTGCCTATTATCCAGTTTCAAAGTCACTTCCTCATTTTCAGGTGTCTTTATAGCAGTGCCCCACACCTCAGTACCAATTTTCTGTATTAGTTCATTTTGGCATTTCTGTGAAGAAGTAACTGAGACTGGTTAATTTATTTAAAATAAGAGGTTTAATTGGCTCACAGTTCTGTAGAATGTACAGGAAGCATGGCTGCAAAGGCCTCAGAGAGCTTTTACTCATGGTGGAAGGGAAAGCCAGAACAGGAATCTTCACATGGCTGGAGCAGGAGGAAGAAAGAATAGAGAGAGCTGCCACACACTTTTAAACAACCAGGTCTCACAAAAACTCATCCACTGTGGTGACCAAAGGGGATGGTGCTAAGTCATTAGAAACCACCCCCACAATCCAATCACCTCCCATCAGGCCCAACCACCAACGCTGGGGATTATAATTTGACATAAAATATTAGTGGGGACAGAGATCCTAACTATATCTGGACCCCTTTCTGCTCCATGCCCAGGCAGAACTCCAGGTATTGGTAGCAACCGCTTGGTAGACTGAGCTGCCCCACCCTTCCTGCTCAGAGATTATGGTGCAGCACTGCCTGCTCTATTCCACACCCAGGGATATTTCCAAGCATTCAGAGAATTTTCTTGCCTGAATTAGCAGTCTGAGATGGCCCTCCCTTACTATACAGAGACCATGGTAAAGTAGGGCCCTCTCTACCCTACACCCAGACATACCTCCAGGTATGTAGATCATCCACTCTCTCAGATTAGAAGTTTAGACTGTCCCCACTTCCTCTGGCAGAGAACTTGGGTCCAAAGAGGTTTCCCAGCTCTATGCTTAGGTACACTGCTGGGCACTTGGTTATAACCTACTGGATTCTCCCTCAGTGCTGGTGCTCATACCTGACATCAGGGGACTTGTAGGTGGGCCAGCCTGGTTGGCCCTATCCATCTCTGCCCTCCACCTCTCTGGGGAGGAGCAGGGAACTCAGACCACTGTGACCTCCACAGATCAGCCCATTGACTAAGGCAACAGAGAACATCTCCTGGTAAACAATGGTCAAATATATACTCAGTCACATTGGCCAAAGCCAGCTCTTACCCAAAAGAGCCATCTATTGTATTATAGGTCAAACTGCAGAGCCCATTACAAAACCCACTGAAAAATTGCATAGGACTTTAGAAGCAAAGCCTAAAAGACCCTACCCAACATTCTCTACATTCACATCCCCTAGGGAGGTGGGGGAAGGAAAGGTAAAGAAAAACACACATGGGCCGGGCCCCAGCACTTTGGAAGGCTGAGGCGGATGAATCACGGGTTCAGGAGTTTGAGACCAGCCGGGCCAATGTGGTGAAACCGCGTCTCTACTAAAAATACAAAAAAATTAGCTGGGCATAGTGGTGGGCGCCTGTAATCCCAGATACCCAGGAGGCTGAGGCAGGAGAATTGCTTGAACCCAAGAGGTGGAGGTTGCAGGGAGCCAGAATCGTGCGTGCCACTGCATTCCAGCCAGTCCGGGTGACAGAGTGAGACTCCATCTCAAAAAAAAAAAAAAAAAAAAAAAAAAAAGACACACACAAATATTACAGGGAAAAAAAAAAGAAAAAAATTCTATCCATCTGAAAATAATTACAACCATTAAAATTACTCACATCCCCAGATGATAAGAAATCAGCACAAGAATATGGCACCGTGAAAAATGTGAAGGTAGTGACACCAGCAAAGTATTACACTAGCTGTTCATCAATGATCCCTAACCAAAAAGAAAACTCAAAAATAGCAGATAAAGAATTCCAAGCATGGATTACAAAGAAACGCAATAATATCCAAGCAAGGCTGAAAGTCAACACACAAAAAATCCAAACAGTCTTTTAAACTAACTCAGTCAGACAAAAATAAACCAAAAGGAATTTAAGAAATGAACAAAGTCTTTGAGAAATATGAGATTAGATGAGACCAAATCTATGAATTACTGACATTCCCGAGAGAGAAGGCAAAAAAGTAAACAATCTAAAAAACATATTTGAGAGAATAATTGAATAAAAGTTCCCTAATCTTGCTAGAGAGATAGACATTCAGATATAAGAAATCCAGAAAACACTTGTGCCAAGACATATAGTCACCAGACTGTCCAAGGTCAATGCTAAAGAAAAAATCTTAAAGGCAGAAAAAGGCCATATGACATACAAAGGGAACTAAATCATGCTAACATCAGACTTCTCAACAGAAACCTTACAAGCCAGGAGAGACTGGGAGGATATTTTCAGCATTCCTAAAGAAAAAAAAATTCCAATCAAGAATTTTATATCCTGCCAAACTAAGCTTCAGAAGCAAAACAGAAATAAAATATTTCCCAACAAGCAAGCATTAGGGGAAATCCTTACCCTTAGGCCAACGTTACAAGACATCTTTAAGGAAGTTTTAACATGGAAACAAAAGAACAGTACCTGATAGCATGAAAGCATACTTAAGTACATAGGCTACAGACCCTACAGAGCAATCACATGATAGAAACTGCAAAGCAACCAGGTAACATCTTGTAATATGATTAAAACCTTACATTTCAATAATAACCTTGAATGTAAATGGTCTAAATGCTACACTTAAAAGACACAGAGTTGTAAGTTGGATAAAGAAAGGAGATCTATCTTTTTGCTGTATTCAAAAGACCCATCTCACACAAAATGACAATTAGTATTAAAATAACGGGTTGGAGGAAGATCTATCACACAAACAGAAAATTAAAAATAGCAGGTGTCACTACTTTTATATCAGATGAAAAAGGATTTAAATCAACAAGGGTAAAAAAGGACAAAGTAAAAAAGGAAAAGAAGAGCATTACATAATAATAAAGTGTTTAATTCAACAAGAAGATATAACTATACCATATATATACACAGCCAACATTGGAGCAACCAGATTGATAAAACAACTACTTATCAACCTACAAAAAGACTTAGTTATAAAATAATAATGGTGGTCTTTAGCACCACACTGACAGCATTAGACAGATCATCAAGGCAGAAAATTAACAAATAAATTCTGGACTTGAATTCAACACTTCACCAATTGGACCTAATAGATGTATACAGAATATTTCCCTCATCAATGACAGAATATAAATTCTTCTCATCTGCACATAGAACCTACTCCAAGACTGACCACATGCTTGGCTATAAAGCAAGTCCCAGTAAATTCAAAAAGTTGAAATCATATCAACCATATTCTCAGACCATAGTGGAATGAAAATAGTAATCAATATTAAGAATGTCTCCCAAAACCATGCAATTACATGAAAATTAAACAACTTGCTCTTGGATGACTTTTGGATAAACAATGAAATTAAGGCAAGAATCAACAAATTATTTAAAACAAATGAAAACAGAAACAATATATAAAAATCTCTGAGCTACAGCAAAAGTAGTGTTAAGAGGAAACTTTGTAGTGCCAAACACCTACCTCAGAAAGATAGAGAGATTTCAAACTAATAATTGAACATCATACATAGGGAACTACAGAAACAAGAAGCAAATAATCCCAAAGCCAGCAGAAGAAAAGAAATAACTAAATTCAGAGCAGAAATGAATAAAATTGAGACCCAAAAATCCATACAAAGAATCGATGAAACCAAAAGTTGGTTACTTGATAGGATAAAGATTGATACATCACTGTCTAGATTAACAAAGAAACAGAAGATCCAAATAAGCACAGCCAGTAGTGACTAAGGTGACGTTACAACTGACCCACGGAAATACAAGAGGTCCTCAGAGACTATTATGAACACCTCTGTGTACACAAACTAGAAAATCTAGAGGAAATGAATACATTCCAGGCAATGTACAACCTCCCAAGATTGAATCAGGAATAAGCCTTGAACAGACCAATATTGAGTTCCAAAATTGAATTAAAAATACAATCCCATTTACAATAACCACAAAAAGTACCTAGCAATACACCTAATCAAAGATGTAAAAAATGTGTATAAGGAAAACTACAAAATACTGATGAAAAAAATCATAGATAACACAAACAAACGGAAAGATGTTCTATGCTTATGGATTGGAAGAATCAATATTGTTGAAATGGCCATATTGTCCAAATAATCTGCTGATTCGACACTATTTCTATCAAACTACTAATGGCATTTTTTACAAAATTAGAAAATATTATTATAAAATTCATATGAAACCACAAAATATCCCAAATAGTCAAACCAATTCTAAGCAAAAAGAACAAACCTACAGGCATTATATTACCTCAGTTCAAACTATACTATAAGGTTACAATGATCAAAAAAGCGTGGTACTGTTATAAAAACAGACATATAGATCAATGGAACAGAGTAGAGCAGTAGTCCCCAAAGTTTTTGGCACCAGGGACCAGTTTCAAGGAAGACACTTTTTCCACGGACCAGGGTTGGGAGTGGGAGATGGTTTCTGGATGAAACTGTTCCACCTCAAATCATCAGGCATAACATTCTTATGAGGAGCTTGCAACTTAGATCCCTTGCATGTGGAGTTCACAATAGGGTTCAAGCTCCTATGAGAATCTAATGCTGCCGCTGGTCTGACAGGAGGCAGAGCTCAGGCAGGAATGCAAGTGATGGGAAAGTCCTGTAAATACAGAAGAAACTTCGCTGGCTCACCCACTGCTCACCTCCTTCCCCCTGGTCTGTGGCCTAAGGGTTGGAAGCCCCAAGAGTAGAGAACCCAGAAATAAAGCCACCCACCTACAGCCCTCTGATCTTCCACAGCATTGACAAAATAATAAATGTGAAAAGGACTCTCTCTTCAATACATGGTGCTGGGATAGCTGGCTAGCCATATACAGAAGAATGAAACTCAAACCCTACCTTTCATCATATACAAAAATGAACCCAAAATTGATGAACAATTTAAATGTATGACTACAAATTATAAAAATCTTAGAAGAAAACCTAAGAAGCACCATTCTGGATACCAGCATTGGTAAGAAATTTATGACTAAGTCCTTAAAAGCAATTGCAGCAAAACGAAATTTGACAAGTAGGATCTACTTAAACTGAGAGCCAAAGAGCTTCAGCAAAGATAGTTTCTTTTCAACAGCAAAATAGACTATCAACAAATAAACAGACAATCTACAGAATGAGAGAAAATATTTGAAAACTAGGCATCTGACAAAGGTCTAATATCTAGAATCTATAAAGGACTTAAATAATTCAACAAGCAAAAAAACTCCAAATAATCCCATTAAAAAGTAGGCAAAATATATGAACAGACACTTCTCAAAAGAAGACATACAACCAGCCAATAAACATATAAAAATGCCTAACATCACTAATCATCAGAGAAAGGCAAATCAAAACCACAATGTGATAACATCTCACACTCATCACAATGGCTTTTTAATTAAAAAAAAAAAGTCAGAAAACAAGAGATGCTGGCAAGGTTGTGCATAGAAAGGAATGCTTATGTATTGTTGGTGGGAATGTAAATTAGTTCAGTCACTGTGGAAAGCAGTTTGGAGATTTCTCAAGGAACTTAACACAGAACTACCATTTGACTTAGCAATCCTACTACTGGGTATAAGAAAATACATTATTTTATTAAAAAGATGCATACACTTGTGTGTTTATTACAGTACTATTCCCAGTAAGAAAGACATGGAATAAATCTTGGTGCTCATCAATTGTGTATTAGATTTTTTTTAAAAAAGTGGTACATATACACCATGGAATACTTCATAGCTATAAAAAATAACAAAATTATGTTCTTTGCAGCAACATGTATGCAGCTAGAGGCCATTATCCTGAGTGAATTAACACAGGAACAGAAAACTCCAGCCTGTGAGATCACCCTCGGGGACTCTATGAAGCTGCAGGGGTGGAGCTACCCAAAGCCTTGGGAGCCCACTCTTTGCAGCAGTGTATCTTGGATGTGGAACATGGAGTCAAAGGAGGTTATTTTGGAGCTTTATGATTTAATGACTGCCCTGCTGTGTTTCAGATTTGCATGGGGCCTGTAGCCTCTTTCTTTTGGCTGATTTCTTCATTTGGGAATGGGAATGTTTACCTAATGCCTATATCCCCATTGTATCTTAGAAGTAAATAACTTGTTTTGATTTTACTGGCTCATGGGTGAAAGGGACTTGCCTTATCTCAGGTGAGATTTTGGAGTTTAGACTTTTGAGTTAATGTTTGAATAAATTAAGTCTTTGGGGGACTATTGGGAAAGCATAATTGTATTTTGTAATGTGAGAAGGACACGAGATTTGGGGAGCCAGGGGTGGAATAAATAGTTTGGATATTTAGATATTTGTCCCCACCCAAATCATATCATATCATATCACCCAAATATCAAGTTGAAATGTAATCCCAATTTTCGAGGTGGGAGATGTTTTGGTCATGTGGGCAGATCCTTTAAGACTTGGTGCTGTTCTTGCGCTGTTGAGTTCTTGTTAGATCTGATTGTTTAAAGTGTGTGGCACCTCCCCTACTCTCTCTCTCTCTCTCTCTCTCTCTCTAACTCTGTTTCTCTCTCTCTCTCTAACTCTGTTTCTCTCTCTCTCTCTCTCTCTCGCTCCTGCTTTCACCACATGATTTTCCTGCTCCCACTTCACTTTCTGCCATGATTGTAAGCTTTTTGAGGCCCTCACCAGAAGCTGAGCAGATGCTGGTGCCATGCTTATATGGCCTGCAGAACTGTAATCCAATTTAACCTCTTTTCTTTATCAATTACCCAGACTCAGATATTTCTTTGTAGCAACTCAAGAATGGCCTAAAACAGGTACACATGGACAGAAGTATGGCAAGAATAGACACTGGAAGCTACTAGAGAAGGAACAAAGTGAAGCAAAGGTCACAAAACTATTGGGTGCTAGTCTCACTACCTGGTGACGGAATCATTTATACCCCAAACCTCAACATCATACAATATATTCATGTAACAAAACTTTAGCATCACACAATATACTCATGTAATAAACAATACCCCTTGAATCTAAAATAAAAGTTGAAATTTTAAAAAGAAAGCTAAATTAAAAAATTAACTATTCAGTGATAATCATGTTCAAAATAACACATCGATGGAATACTTAGTCTTATTATAATGACTTAATATTCATTAGAAATGAAATATTAAAATGATAATTGGCATTTAGAAATCTATAATCATAATTCAATTATTAAAGCATACTGACTTTTTATAAATATAACATGTCAGAAAGTGCCAATACAATTATTTGTTAACAAGAAAAATTGATAAAATAATAGAAGTGCTTTTTATTAAAAATATGTAATGAATTTTATTCATCCTGTGAAAGCCCGTGTGGTTTTATTTTTAGATACTACAAAAAGCATTTATGTGATCATTTTAATTTTTTTGACATCTCAAAAATAATATTGTATAATATTACTGCTTTCAAAATCATATTTAACACCCTGACCTAATGCATTATATGCTTAAGGATTATGCAGCTGTCAATATACCTAAAAAATTAAATGTGATATATGTGATCCAAAGGTAAAAAAGTCTAATCTTCCTTTGGCTATAAACAAAATAAAGAATAATAATTATTGAATAATGTTAGAATTTGATCCATTAGCATTTAAATAAAAATATATGTGACTTATTTTATGATTAAAAACAATTATGAGTTTATATAAGAAATTTTTCTTGGTAAAAGTCCTTCTGTCCTGTAATTGATTACTAAGATATTTTCTGATAAACCCAAGCTCCTTTGAGAGTTGACTGTCCACCATCTTTTCTACAAAATAAATATTTTATAAACAAACATAATTTTTAAACATAATCTCTCCTCATCTGAGCTCCTTTATTTATGTCAATAATACCACCTTTCTTCCAGAAATCCAGTCTCAAAATACAGAGTGCTGTTCATTTTTGTCTCCTATTAGTGGCACCATAACTAATTCTGCTGTTTAACTTACTTGTGAGTCACTCACGTTCAGCCAATTGCATCAGTCATACTGCAGCAGGCCCCTGCTGACCATATGACTCCCCAGCCTCAAACCATTTAAGTAAATTCCAGTATCTATGAGATCTTGTCCAACATTTTTACTGGGATTAAGGCCTTCCAAGATCTTTTCTCTGGAAATCATCAAGACACTCAGAAGGTTCAGAACCCTGGCTAATGGCGGAAAAAATTCCTATAGACTAAATTATTAGTGTCTCTGATCATTTTCCCATCTGCTTTCAGAAGGTCTAGCTTGAAGTGATGGCAGTTTGCAAGGCACCAGATGTATTTGAATATCCTGGTCTTTTGCTAACAGGGCTCCAATGTCAGTGAATATGTGATGTGAATCCAAAAAGACAATTAGCAGAAGACTGTTTTGCTGTCACCTCTCCAGGATCCCTAACATCCTAGCCTCAGGGGAATATTCGCACAGCTCCCCTCCGCAGTTCAACTCAACTAGTTCCATATATCAAATCACACCTAATTAATAATATTATCTATAAAGTAAGGTGAATCATAAATATTTATTAGACCTTACAGTTGGGCACTGTCCTTAGAGTAATCACATAAATAACAATACTCTTAGTCATTGTGTGAGTTCCAATTATTGTCTTTAAAGAAATTGTGGTTGGGGAACTTTAAGTAACATGTCAAAGATCATAAACCTAGGTAGTGATGGAGTCAAGATAATAATTTAAGTGTGTCAAACTCCAAAACTCCTTTTCCTCCAAATTACTCTATACATGTATTTTCTTCTATTTTAATTTATTCCAAAGGTATCAGATGATATGCTGGAAAATATACAACAATAAGGCTACTACTATAACACCACCACAAAAACAAAGTCTAGCTAATAGTTTGGTACCATTTGTCCCTTCAGAAAAGTTTAGATAAAAATTACATTGTATTTAACTAACTTAACTATATGTGATGACAATGATGTGAATACTCTGATTATAATTATTTCTTACTTTATCTTATTCTTTCACACTCCCTCTGTTTGTGTAAGCATTGGCATGGTTGTTCATTTTTCACCAGAGGCCATAAGTCAATTGAATACTCAAGCATAGATTTTGAATTAGATTGTTTTCACTTCATTATTGCAAAAGAGGGTTCTTTAGCTGTGAAATGGATATGGAAATTTTTCTAAAGCACCAATCAGGAAATATATACTGCAAATTTTTCTTAAGTGAGGGATAATTGTGATGCTTTTCTTCATCATATTTCTTAAATCAATTTCCTTTTCTTCCTCTTCCATAACCACCACTACCAATTTTAATTCTTGTAGTCTGTTACCTAAATTATTTCACTACCTCTAAATTGGTCTTCCATCTCTAGCCTTCCTTCAGAATTTCTTATGCATGAGGCCAGCCAGAATTTTTTAAATGGTTTCTTATACTGCTGTATTTCCCAAACTTGCCATTACTCTTTACTATCTTTTCCTGAAGGGTAAAGGGCATTTAACATTCATTTGTCTACCTAGCCACACTTGATCTAAGCCAAAAGGTGGAGAATCAGTATATTCAGACCAACAAAAACACAGGAATAATATTCCCATGCATCTTCTTTTTTATATATATTTAAGGAACAGATGAATAAATACGTGAATAAAAGTGTTTTATATACAGAAATGCCGTATATCAAATGCATGTAGTATTTAATTATCCTTTTACAGTTTTCTAATACTGTTACGACTAATTTGAGGAAAAAGAAAGCAAATCTGCCTAGCGGATAAAATTTGAATGTGTTGTGCATTTTCATGTCATGTGGATACTGTCTTGACCTGCAATTGTGAGACCATATTCACATACAATAAGCAGGCTTGTGGAATTTAAAACTGTGCCAAAAAATCTTTGATAATAATCCCATAAAAGGTGTAATATAATTCCCCTCCCCCTAAGAATGAGTTGAACTTAGTGCCTTGATTCTATTCTAGTGGATAGAATATGAGGAAAGTGACAGTGTGTGACTCCAAGACTAGCTTATAAAAGGCAGTGTGGTTTCCACCTTGCTCTCTCTAGGTTCACTCACCCTGGAGAAAGCCAGCTGCATAAGGACACTTAGGCAGCTCAGTGGAGAGGACCATGAGGTAAGAAACAGATCTCCAGGCAATGGCCTGGGAGGAACTCATGTCACCTGACAACATCCATGTGAGTGAGCTTGGAAGCAGTTTTACCAAACTCAGTCAAATGTTCAAATGATTGCAATACCAGCCAACACCTACATTGCAGTTTCATGGGAGATCCTGAACCAGAGCTGTCCAAATAAGCTTTTCTGTTTTCCCAACCCATGGATATAGTGAGGAAATAAATGTTTATTGTTTAAGCCATTACAACTGGGAATAATTTCTTATATAAAAATAAATAAATAATGGAGCCTCTAGGGGTAGATTTTATTTTAAACTGAGTGCATGGGAAGATATAAGGAATATGGTCAGAAATAATTGATCTGTCCCCTCTATTTTTTACTTGTAGAAATTAATAATCATTATATCAAGAATGTAGCAGCATTTGCATGATGTATTTGTGTTGCAAAATAGAAAACACAGCTCAGACTTCATCATGATCATCATTACCTTTCTTAAAAAAATATTTAAAATATTTTCACATAATACTTTTATAAAAGCTTTGTGAAACCATTGAGTGACATATCCTAGCTTCTTAGGGACTCAGAAAATACAGAATTTCCTGTGCCACAAGCACTGTGCATGTAATCTTTACTTTTTTTCTTATTTCAGTAAAATAAACCCTATATTGTCAATTGGTTATTTATAGTGAATTATATTTTCACAAATGACATATATGTTTTTGTGGTATATATGAACTTGAATAGAATGGCTCTGTGATTAATATTACAATGGGTTTGTAAAGCATGCATTCAAGCTAAAATACTACCCTTTTTCTCCTTTCATGTCTTTTTATAACATTGAGCTTAAATTACACGTTATATTTTCTTTTATATTACACTAGGTAAAGACAAAACAACTTCTTAGAACATGTAGATATTATTATAATTGGCAGAATAATTTTGTAAAGAGTGAGTAAAGCTGTAAAATGAGATAGACTCTTTAGTCGACATGCTGTTTTATGTGTATATTTATAGAAATAGATATTAATAATATTTCTATATTTCAGTACTTTTGCCAGAATAATAAAACAAAATAACTAAGTTTTATTTTAGAGAAAGTGTGCAAATAAAGAGTTTCAGTATTCTTTTACAAGGCATATTAAATATAGCAGTGATTTTTTTTTCATTCTTATTTTAGACAATTGCATTTTTGAATTCTCCTCTTATGGAAATGTTAGTCTAACCAATAATATTCAAAAAGGAAAACTAATCAGCCTTATGGAAGGAGACAGCTTGTCATTCTCCACTTTCCGTATCTACATTAATCTGGTTTTAATTTGGCATGGTTCTTCTATTTATCCAGGGTCTGGGGCTTGCATTTTTTTTTTTTTTTACTTGTGAGGAGATTGTAAATATGTTCACATGGCACATAGTAAAGTGGCAAGTTGTATGCAGCAAGAAACTCTCAACTATGGGAAAACTCCATCCTGTGTGCTGTAGGGTGACTATATATAGGTTTGTTTTATTGTTTTTAATTTGCGTATCTTCTGTCTGTCCTTAAATTAGATTCAGTATCTTAATAATTTCACTTGAAACTCAAAGCCAAGATTTTGCTGTGTGAGGAAGTTTCTGAATAAGACATCAAGTTTCTAGCCATCAGAGGATAATTTATTGATACTTGTCAAAAGGAAGTATCAGTCTAACAGAAATCAAGACAAAAGGAATGCCTGATGAATTTTCTTTGAAGTGCCTTTTATAAAAGTCCTTGGTAATACATATTGATGAACTCCAAATTGTCTTGCCTGAAGGGAAAAGAAAGTAGACTGCTTTACACTGTCTTATAAATATTCATCAAAAGAACAAGACTTATGTTTCCAGGCGTGAGGTGAATGATTACGGTTGTATGATTGCCTTGGAATCTGGATAATTAGTAAAACAGCCGTTGACAGAGAATTTTAAACTTGGTACGTTTCTTGCCTTCACTTTATTTGGAGTCAGAAATAAAGCTTCCTATACCTAAGGGAAGCAGTTTTAGGGGATGAAGAATTGATATTATCAAGTTCTAGCCATTGGTTGGTTTACTATCTTTTTAGCTCAAACTTAAAACAAAAATAATTGGTTTTATTTTTATTTATTTATTCTTTGGTAATTCATTTTTGGTCTAATGAAACAGCACCACTCTTATTAAGGATGATTTGTTAGGATATGTGTCTTAAGACCTGAGGACTGTAAAATGATAGGATGAATCCATCTAAATGATCAGACAGAATAGTTTTGTGTGACTGTTTTTTGCATGGGATTATTGTTGTCATTTTGCTTATTCATTTTGGACTGAGAAATTAACTTTGTGTTTCTTTTGCTTATTGAATCCATGGGATTAAAGATCCAGCTTGATTAAATGGACATGGAATTTTTGATGTTTGGAAGATAAGTATTGTTCATACCAAAAATCAGAAATTATCTATCATTGTGTAACTAGTTGCACATTTCTCCTAACCCTTGTTTTATAAGTCATCCTCTAAACTGTTAGGAGGAAAATAATCCCTTCTCTGGAAACTTTATCCTTTACAGTGTTTAGCACTTAAATGCAATTAAGCAAACATAATATCCTCTTTGAAGCAAAATAGTTGCTCAGCTTAAGTAACTGAAACTAATTATCTCTGTTGAATGAAAGACATATTCGGCAAGTGTTTGAAGAATGCTTCCTTCATGTTGAGCAGAAATTAGCACTTTTATTGGCGTTGCAGGTGGAGGAGCACTCAACATGCTGTATCTGTCAGTTCATACCCACATGTAGACCTACAAGTAAGAAAGGGGAACCGAAATTGACATGTATCTGGGAGTAAAATGTGATAAAACAATTAATTTTTAAATAAGAGAAAGACAGGTTGAACAAATGATTCTCCTAGAAAATGTTTAGGTGTTATCTAAAAACTGTCCACTTATTGCAAGGGAAACTTTACTGCTTCAAACACCTTGGCCAGAAACATGCAGAATTTTAATACCCAGCAGCATTGACCTGTGGTAAATGCAGGAGATGACAATGATGGTGATGAGGGTATTGGTATTCTTGGAAAAGTAACTGAATACTTTGGCAAATAAAATTAAATGTTTTTCAGAAGCAAAGGAATCATCTTGTACTCTCCCACTTTTGTTTTTTTAAATATTGCACTTTGTTTAATGTGCTTATAATTGATCTCATTCAGAATCTATGAAAAATAGTTTAGAAAAAAGACTCTTATAAGGCATATGGTGTCAGCAGTCTGGAACACTTAAATTGATCACATAGAATACCTAGATAAATTCAACATGGGATAGAAACAAAGCAAGAACCGTCTGGAAACTGAAGTGTTTTGTCTCTGAGGAAATCTATTATTTTTATTTTATTTCAAAAACATCACTGAGAAATTTACTAGCTATAATATCATTTATATAACATTTTTTTCAAGCATCTGAGGAAAAAAAATCTCCATTTAAAATGCAAATGGAAAAATGTGGGAAAATGAGTAGGGCAGAAAAGGAGAATTGACAGTTAAATATTTAAAACTTTGCATTATTGGGCACATTAACCTGAATTTTTGTAATATCAAACACAGCCTCACCGTATGCAATCAATGGTGCATATAAACATTTCAATGAAAATATTTCAAATGTCTATATGCAGAAAACCACAAGAGAAAGGCTACTATCTAAAAATAATAGCTATAATTAAAATTTTGAAACTACGGGATAACCCAATACTTACTAAACCACAGCCATAGCTGGATTTGTTTTAGGACACTTTGTCTGCCCAGAGTACAACATCTTAAGAATGAGACAGAATTTACAATTGTCACTGGGAGGGCCTATGAGGAAAGAAAAGTGACTTCAAGTTAAAGACTAACTTAGAAAACTTTCCCTGGTGCTGACTGAAATGACTCATGTTTTGCTGAGTGGATTTTTGAAGAAAGTAACAGCTTCCAGTGTTTTCAGTGGTAGGAGCCCACTAGGGTGCAGATGAGAACTGCACTCATGAAAGGCAAGTATAGATAGTCATAAAGCATGAAGAAACAGTTGACATCACCCCCTTCCCATTAAATTAATTCCTATAAATACAAATGTAAATACTGTAAGTTGTCATTTGTTTATCAGGGAAGAAAGGAATGATAAAAATTTTAAGCTGGCATGTTTAGAGTAAACAGGCACTCATATTTCATGTTTATCAGAGTGAAAATGGATGCAAATTTTTCAGTAAGTATAAAAAGAAAGCATATTCTTCCAGCAAGAAAGTTGACTACTAGACATTTATCAAAAGAAAATGAATAGGAAATTGTGTTAGGGTATATATTGTAGGCATGTTTATATAACATTATAAAAAAATACTAGAAACAACTCAAATGATTAATAGTGAGAGACTGAGTAAATGCATCATATTAAACCAGACAGTTGTTCAATATTTAACCATTAAAATATTTTATATATTTTATTTATATTTACATGAAAATTATATATTAGGTGAGAAGAGGATATATATGTGTGTACATAGCTCTATCTATCTATCATCTATCTAAAAGTCATCTATGATATATATCATATAGATGGTATTATGGGTTGAATTGTACTCCTCCACAATTCATATATTGAAATCCTAACCCCCAGTACCTAGAATATGACTATGCATTTGGAGACCTATCTTTAAAAAGGTACTGGAAATATTTTTAACAATCTTTTTAGAAGTCTTTAAAGGGGTAATCAAGGTAAAATGAGGTCATATGGAAGGGCCCTAATTCAGAATGACTAGTGTCCTTATAAGAAGAAATTAGGAAACACACAAGTACTGAGGGAAGACTGCATGAAAACATAAGGAGAAGATGGCCATCTGCAAACCAATGAGAGAGGCTTCAGGAGAAACCAATCCTGTTGAAGCCTTGCTCTTGGACTTTTAGCCTTCAGAATTGTGAGAAAATGACCTTCTGTTGTTTGAACCACTTAATCTGTGGTACTTTGTTATGGCAGCCATGGGAAGCTAATACAGATACTTACCTCTTGATGTAGATATAGACATAGATATATTTTTCTTGGTAATCTGTGTTTTCTATTTTTTTCTAACGTAAATACATACCATTTATATAATTTTAAAATATGCAGGAAATAAGAAAAAGCTGCTAGACTATGTTAGTTGTGAAACACTGAATATTTCAGAATAACGTTCTCTAGAAACTCAATTAAGAATTAGGAAGAAAACATCAAATGTATCCAATCGTTCACAGGTAATTTTGCCCAGAAGTTAATTTCTGTAAGTTTGATAACTGTCATTTCTTGCTACAGATGCAATCAAGCAATATCTGATTCAAAAGTTTTAATCACAATAACCACGCCAGAGGTGACTAGTTGAAAATAAGTGGGGTGACATATTTTGTGCAAAGATCCTAAGTTTTTAGTCAGTAGGGGCTTTGTGTCGTGGAACTTTCTACTCTCCATAGCACCTAGCAAAATTCTAGATATGAATTCATTCTTTATAAATGCTTTTTGACTGGCTTATTCAAAAAGTGAGAAAGAAGAACGATTTCGTAATAATTGACTTTCGTACTTTATTAATTGATGCATGTATTCATTGTAGTAAGATATAACTAAAAATCTTCACGTTGTTGATTGCAAGAAGCTACCTATCAACATAGAATCAGGGATATGTCAGTTTTTCCCTTAAAAAATGAATAAAACCCAGAGTATAATTTGCCCTGGAAATGTCAATATCAGCAGTGTGATAGTTAGAGGACACAGAAGTGACAATCAAACTGTATTCAGTATGGCCATTTATTAGAAGTTTGGGGGGCCTAGTGCATGGTATATTTTTGGTTCTATAGGAGAACTCAAAGTAATCTCTTCTGAATCCAACACATTCTCTAAAATCTCTGTATGCATGTAAATAAATGTAGCTCTATCTATAAAAAACGTAAATAAGTTTCAAATTTTAAAACTTACAGATTTTCAGAAAACACATCAGTGATGGCTCAGGGAAACTATTTCAGATGAGGAAAATTATTTTCTTGATATTTGGTTATCTATTTTAACACAAGACTCTTGATAACAATATGTAATTGTTTAGGACCCATTAGCTTTTTACCTCAAATATTGTATAATTGCTTCAGTTAATTATAAAAAATATGGTTTCCATTTTATATTCACACATTAAAAACCTGTGAATGTTCACTTCCAGAAAAAAAAGTAAGGTATTTTTCTTCATACCTAAGATAATTTGCTTCTATATATTCTATATATAAAGATATATTCTATATCTTTCTATATGGGTGTCATCTCTGTAGTGTCCCAGTCTTTCTAATCTTACTTGTTTTTCAAAAACCCATTCAACACTTACAGTGTCACTATGAGAAAAAGATGAAAATCTGTGCTTTCTTCTAAGAAAATAAGTGTAGAGAAATTTATTTTAAAACACAAATCATATTACAGGTAAAATGTATATCAATAAAACCATATTATCTTTACGTGACACAGAAAACCATTATGTTTCTCTGTATTTGCTTCTTGTCTTTAGTTTTTATTGATTAAGCCTGGTTGCACCTCAGCCAGCTGATGAGTGTTCACCATCTTACTTCCATTTTGACTCTTCTTTGTCTGAACTGTTTCCCTACTGTCTGTCTCCAGTTACCTGTACTGATTTCAACTTTAACCTTCAACCCGATATATTTTTTAGCCACTCACAAAGAATTTTAAGAATTCACAAAACTGAGAGCTTCTGCCAGAAATGCTGCAAAAGATGTTAGAAGTATATTAAATCAAGAAGTATTTTAAAAAAGCCTGCATATTTTGACTGCATTAGTCAGTCGATCATAAGAAAGTTGCCTACATCGTAAACACACTCTCCCAGAAACTTTAGTACAGGTGCGGCTTTAGTAAGTTCAGATGTATAAATGCTAAAGCTTATGTAAACATTCACTTGAAAGCATCATTATTTACATTTGATAACCAGTTATAGGTTTTCATGATTTTAATGAATTTTTTACATTAACTTTTGGCTTTAGTCTCTCTAATTGAAGGTGACAAACTATTAAAGCAAAAATTTAAAAACTGTATTATTCAAAATTCAAAAATCTAAAAAAAGTAAAGTAATTAGACCTAATTGAACTTTAAAATGCTGATTTAAAAATAAATTTGTAGTATTACACTTTTGAAGTTATTAAGGTGTAAAAGTGTACTAAGACTTTTGGCACACTTTGGATTTCAATATTCTTCATTAAAAATGAATTTTAAAAAAACCTAAACAAAGAAAAATAGGACCATATTATACCTTCTTTACTATCCTTCAAAAATTGCTGAAAACTTTCCTGCAGTACAATGTCACTTATCTTCAATCATCTAGAGAATGAAAGCCAGGGAGTTCAAGGGAGCAGCCTCAGGTCATGGAGCTGGTTCATGAAGGAAAAGATTCCCTGGGCTGTCACTCCATTTCTGTTCTCACTACCTAAATGGAGTAAGTCAATGAGAATTATGGACTTGATATTTTTATATTGGTGCCTGACATACCTAATCTCTCCCTTGACTAAAGTTGCCCAATCCATGAACCTCTGCTCAGAATAGTATCATCAGGCACTTCCTTTGCATAAAACATGGCTTTTGTTTGGACTGCAGTAAAGATCCATCCTAAGAGCAATATCGCCCTTAGCCTGCAAATGGGGCCCTGCACTGGGCTTTGTGATCCAGAGACTGTGTTCTAACCCTCTGCTGCATCATTCCCCATAGGGAAGGGAAGCGTAGGAAGGTGTTTTTAGGGCCTGAAGAATGAGCTGTGATACCAATTTTGGTACTCAACACAGAGTGGATAACTGCTAAATGTTGATTTGCAAAGGAAAAAAGCTTATTTTCCTTCATAGATTTTTACACGTATTCAAAGATTTATTGTGGTCCTAATCGTAAGTTTTTTTTTTTTTTCCTGACTTTTGTCTTTGAACTTTCTTGGTCTGTATATTGTGCTTGCTTTGAAAATGTTAGGATCTGTGTCCAGTTCTCACATATATTTTACCCAGTCGGTGACATTTTCTTATGTAATCATAAACCTGTATCCTTCTACGCATATACTTACATGATTTTATATACATGGGGTTTTGCCTTCTTTTGTCTATTTTGAGAGATGAAAATAACCCTTGCCTTTAGGAAAGAATAAGTTGGACTTGTATGTATTAGTAAGAACCTAGAGAAGACTACCTAAAATAAGTGTGAAGGACTGTGAAAGATATGTATAAGACTAAAATATAATTATGCATTAGATATAGAGAATATGCTGGTAATGTGAAGAAAATACCAGGAAACATGTTTTTTGAGTTCAAAATAGAACATCTGAACTTTCCAAAACTGTGTATTACTGGTTATTGAAAAATCTCATATTGTTTATTTACATAAATTGCTTTCACATTTTTTTCTTGAATTTTCACGATATGCCAATTTTTCTTTTACTTTCTCTCTCTCTCTATATATATACATATGTTATATATATGTATATATAAATATTATATATGTATATATATTATATATACATATATATACACATATATATGATATATATATTTTGTAAGACTTCAAGGCTTCCTAATCTTTTTCAGTTACTGTCATGTGTATCCCTCACTTAACAATAGGGATATATTCTGAGCAATGTGCCATTAGGTGATTTCATAATTACCTATGATTAGGTGAACATCATAGAGTATATTTACACAAATCTAGATGGTATACCCTATCACACACTTAGGTTATATGGTATAGCCTATTACTCCTAAGCTACAAACCTGCACAACATTTTACTGACTGAATACTGTGGTCAACTGTAACACAATGGTAAGTATAAGTGTATCTAAAGATAGAAAAGGTACAGTAAAAATGTGACACAAAATACAGAAAATAGTACACCTGCATTAGTCAAGGTTCTCTAAAGGGAGAGAACTAATAGGATATATGTGCATATATGAAGGGGAGTTTATCAGGAAAATTGACTCACACGATCACAAGGTGAAGTCCCACAATAGGCCATCTGCAAGCTGAGGAGTAAGGAAGCCAGTTCGACTTCCAAAACCTCAAAAGTAGGGAAGCCGACAGTGCAGCCTTCAGTCTGTGACCAAAGGCCTAAGAGCCCCTGGCAAATCACTGGTGTATGTTCAAGAGTCCACAAGCTAAAGAACTTGGAATCTGATGTTTCAGGGAAGGTATCATACAGCATGGGAGAAAGATGACGGCCAGAATACTCAGCAAGGGAAGTCTCATTCCATTTTCTTCTGCCTGCTTTATTCTAGCCATGCTGGCAACTGATTAAATGACACCCACCCAGATTGAGGGTGGGTCTGCCTCTCCCAGTCTACTGACACAAATATTAATCTCCTTTGGCAACACCCTCACAGACACACCCAGGAACAATACTTTGCATCCTTCAATCCAATTAAGTTGACATTCAATATTAACCATCACAACATCTATATAGAGCACCTTCCATGAATGGACCTTACAGGACTGAAATCTGTTCTGGGTGAGTCAGTGAGTGAGTAAGAAGTAAATGTGAAAGCCTAAGTCATTACTGTATACTACCATAGACTTTATAAACACTCTACACTAAACTTATAGAATATATTTTTCTTTCTTCAGTAATAAATTAATCTTACTGTAACTTTTTTACTTCTACACTTTAATTTTTTTTAACTTTTGACTCTTTTGCAATAACACTTTAAAACAGACACATTACACAGCTGCACAAAATATTTTTCTTTTTTATATCCTTTTTAGTAAGCTTTTTCTTCTTTTTATTTTTATTTTTTACTTTTTAAACTTTTTTGTTTAAAAATTAAGACACAAACACACATCTTAGCTTAGGTTTACACAGGGTCAGGATCATCAATGTCACATCTTCAAGGACAATAACACACATAGAGCTGTCATCTCCTCTGATAACAAGGACTTTTCACTGGAGCCTTTCAGAAGGTGGAGGTTGAGAGGAGGAAGAGGATCAGGAAAAATAACTAATGGGTGCTAGGCTTAATACTTGGGTAAGGAAATAACCTGTACAACAAACCCCCATGACACAAGTTTACCTATATAACAAACCTACACTTGTACTGCTGAACTTAAAAGTAAAAACAACAAAAAAAAGACTTTTTCTGGAACACCTCCTGAAAGACCTGCCTGAGGCCGTTTACAGTTACCTTGTTTTTTCAAGTAGGAGTATACTCTAAAATAATGAAAAAAAGTATGATCTAGTAAATGCATAAACCAGTAACGTAGTTCTTTACTATCATTATCAAGAATTATGTAGTGTACATAATTGTATGTGCTATACTTTGATAAGACTGATGGCTCTGTAGGTTTGTTTACACCAACATCACAGACACCTGAGTAACATGTTGCACAATGACATTTCAATGGCTACAATGTCACTAGGTGATAGGAATTATTCAGCTTAATTATAATCTCATGAATCCACAGAAGTATATGTGGTCCATTGTTGACTGATACATTATTATGTGCACATGGCTGAATTAAACTTAGTCCAGTCCATATTAAATTCCATCTCATACTCAATACAGATTCCCCCGGGACAGGTTGAAGGTGCTTAGAATTGGGCAGGGGATGGGATCTACTTCCTTTCCTCTTCCTACTTTAGTACCTTGGCCTGGAGAGAGATCTCAGCCAGGCTCTGGGTCATTTCCTTTTCTGGATTTAACTATTCAAAAGTCGGGGCCAGAGATACAGGAAAGTAGAGGCAGAGATCTTATTTATCGAAGTGTATGTTGGCATAGAAATTATCCTTAATCACTACTCCAGTTAGACCTTGTTCAGTCTGATGTTAGTGGTCTTTGCAGAGGATACTATATACAGTTTCCTCAAAAAAGTACTCAAGTCATTCCATCTTTCCTGTCATAAGGGAATATTCCATAGGGAGGGGAGGCTTAGGTACTCTTTAGTCCTTCCAGAAGCCATGCAAAAAACAAAAACCCTCTGTCTAGTTGTGAGGTTACTTTGCTTGGTTTGGTAGCCCCTGTTCAGCCTTCTGCATCCTTCCAATCCTCTAAACTCAATGATTCTTTCCTTGGAGGAAAGGGCACTACCTGGTCTTATTCGGTGTCATTGAAGGGCTGTGAAGAACTGGAAAGGAAGTTTATGCATCTTTTACTTCTCAGGGTCTCTATAACAGTCCTCTCATGCCCTGCTGATGCAGATTTCTCCAAGGAAACTCTGACCTTTAGAAATCTATAGACTAAAAGAAGTTTCTAATTGAGTTCATTACATGTCCTAATTAAAGGGGACTACATAGAACTGCTTTCCTAAAAATCAGTAGAAAATTTTGCTTTCTATTACCTTTTGCCCTATTCAAAACATATCCTAAGCATTGCCATCTGTTTGAAAAACGTAAGTTTTTGAATCTCAGCAATGTGTTGACCTTAATCTACTTAACTACTGCATGATTACTGCTTTTCGAATAGCTAGAGAGTCATTCACCCCCTCGCCCAACCAGCACCGAATGTTTGTTCCAAAATACTATCACATTAGTGTCTCACATTAGCTGAACATAAACAACTGGAAAGGAAATAATTTGGGATGAATAATCATGCATAGCATACTGAGGATGGAGTTGGGGGATGGTAGAGTGTTATGTACTAGGAAAGGATAAAGAAAATGTCCCAGAAGTGGTCAACTAGAAGAATCATTGTTTTGCATGTACTGGGAAAGGAAAGGGGGAATAATGTCTAATTGTCTAATAGTGGAAGGTTTTATATATATATATACATATATATATAAACAATTATACAATATAAATCTAAACATAAATATATGTGTATGTATATATATTTATATTTATAAATCTATCTATATTTCCATGCATATTTATGTTTATAAATCTATCCTCATTTATGTGTCAGAGAGCTAGATATGCTTATATCAGGCCTGAAGAACCATGGTGGATTGATAAAAACAGTTGGATTGATGGCTGCTAGATTTCAGGAATTGGGCTATAAATAATGTCTATAAACATACCATACAACCCCACATTTGAGAAGCATGGCATTGAAGCTACAGAGTGGAGGTGAGAGAGTACTACATATTGTAGATGTGAACTGTCCTGAGAAAGTCAGTTTTATTCTTTGAAGAATAGTAAACAAAAACACGATGTGGGAAACCTCTGCAATACATTTTAGAAGAAAGAAAAGAAAATCTACTTTGAAGGCTGATAGGGGAGTGAAGCTGAAAATTATTTACTTCAAAAACCAGAATCAATTTTTAGATAGCTATGAGGCAAACTTAAATTTAATGAAAGAAGACATGGCTTTAATAAAACAGAAGCAGAAAACTACAAGGGCTGAATAATCATAGATAAAATTCCAACATGATGAGATAGAGAAGGAGGTACATAAATGATGTAAGGATTGTAAGTAATCCAAATGTTTAATAATCAATGTAACTGTTTATTAGAATCAATAAATAGCATAAATTAAAAATAGAAATGCTAGCAATTTGGAGAATAAATTTGAGAGCTTTAGTAAAGAAAAATAAATAGTGAATAGGTCAAAATTTATTTCAAGAGAACTGGAAAGAAAAAGAGCAGAAGTAAATATGTAAGAATTTCAGTAATTCCTAAAAGAGAAAATAAAACAATTGGAATACTAATCAAAATAAAACATAATTCATCTGTAAATATATATATATATAAATATATATGTATATGTCTCTAATTTAATGAGGTTACAAAATTTAATCCTATACATATTTCAGGAAAAAGTAAGATATTTAAACATAAATATATTCTTGGACAACTCTGAAATTCAAAGGTAAATAATATTGCCATCGGCTCCCATCAGCAGGGAATAACCCAACCTATGAAGAACAAAAAGTTGAAAGGAAGGAAGAGAAGAAGGAAGAGAGGGAGGAAGGCAGGGCAAGAAAATTGAAAGGGGAAGAGAAAGAAGGAAAATTTTAAGGGGGTGGGAAGAAAAACAAGGCTGGAATTTGATGTTTCTATAACACTAAATGATCAGAGAAACTGAATAAACATGTACAAAGTCTTGATGGGAAAAACTGGGGCTCTTGAATTTTGCAGGCAGTCTGATTTATTTTTAAGTGTGAAGGCAAACTCTAAATTTTCAGAAAAGCAAGCGGTTAAGACAAATCTCCATCTATCTATCTATCTATCTATCTATCTATCTATCTATCTATCTATCTATCTATCTATCCATCCATCCATGTAGTAACATCCACTATTATTGTCTTAGTCTGACTGGGTTGCCATATCTAAATACCATCGACTGGATGGCTTAAACAACAGAAATTTATTTCCCACTGTTCTGTGGCTGAGAAGTCTAAGATACAGGTGCTGTCCGATACAGTTCCTGGTAAGGGCCTGTTTCCTGGTTTGCAGGTGGATGCCTTCTTGTCTTCTTCACATGATGGAAAAAGAGAGAGTGTTGTTCTCTCTTCCTCTTCTCCTAAGGTCACCAATCCCATCATGCGGGTCCCACCCTCTTGACCTCATCTAAATCTAATTACTTTCCAAAGGCCCCATGTCCAAACGCCATCACATTGGTTGTTAGGGTATCAACCAGTGAATTTGGGAGAAGTATAAACATTCAGTCCATAACAATTACCCACCCAAAAAATCACTTAAAAATGCATTTCAAATGAGTGAAGATGAATGATAATTAGGAAGGAAATAATAAGAATACTGTCATATTAAGAAGTATAATTTAAGTATTAAAACCAGTTAGAGATAAATGTAAGCCTCTAAAGTATAATTATAAATCTAGCTTTGATAACAAAGTAAGTAAAGTAATATGCTTGAAAGATAGTATATGATATAAAATATTTTAGTAATTAGCTTGGTCTAAGATTCCAGATTACCTTAGGGAAGGCCTATATGATTTCAGAAAGCAATGAAATTGTAATAATTATCTTGCTTACACTGAAACTTCTTAGAAGCTACAGTTTTATTACTGACTGGTTGATTTATAAAGTTTTGTTAGATAATTTTTTGAAAATTTAAATATAATTAACAATAGGCTAAAATCAAGATATACACTATTCAGATGACTGGTAATGATATATCCATCCATATAGCCCTAATTAACATAAACTATAAAAAACATGTAAACAAAACAAAACAAAATATTATATTATGACAGATATAATTGGACTTGTGGCTCACTGCAACCTCTGCCTCCTGGGTTCAAGTGATTCTCCTGCCTCAGCCTTCAGAGTAGCTAGGATTACAGGCATGTGCCACCTTGCCCAGCTAATTTTTGTACTTTTAGTAGAGATGGGGTTACACCATGTTGGCCAGGTTGGTTTCCAACTCCTGACCTCAAGAGATCTGCCCACCCTGGCCTCCCAAAGTTCTGGGATTACAGGCATGACCCACCACATCTGGCCTGGACTTACTTTCTTATTAAAAAATAAAGTTGCTCAAGTTAAAAAATGTAAGTCCAATTATATTTTTATTAGAAAAGACATGCCCCCCAAAAAGTCACAAAAGGACTTAATTAAAAAATAAACAGAATAAGCAATGATGTATCAGATGGTTGTAAACAATAAAATAATAAAATATCAGAGATGTCAATACTATTTGCAGAGGCAGAAAAATTAAATGGGTTAAAGTTTGACTATTATTTTATTTAAAGATGCATGATATATGAAGACATAATACTAATAAACTTTGCCAATCACCTTAAAATTTTATTCAGCTTAGAATATTGAAGAGAACATAAAAAAGTATCTACAAAACTTTTACCCTCTTACCTTCATTTTACCTTATACTCTACCCTATTTATAAGAATGTGGACATTTCATGAACAACGAACAATGCCTCACCCTGTGTGCTAGATCTCATGCCTTCTCATCCACCCACAGACACTGCTAGAGCAATTCTCTTGATTTCCTACATTACTACCTTTTTTCCACTCTACATAGTTCCCACTCTAGATGATATCAGCATATACAACAAAATAAATCCGTTCCAAATTTACTCTACTCCCTACCAAATAGTGCCCCCATGTCATACCTTTTATAGCAAAACTTTTGGAGGGAATTTTCTATATAGCTGTCTCTAATATCCCTCCTCCCATTTTCTCATAAACCTATTCCAAAAGATTTTCACCCACTTCAACATGTCAAAGAAAATGGTGTTACCAATGAAATTGCACATTTCTAAATTCAATGGTTATTTCTCTGTCTTCACTGAACTGCAAGAGCAGATGACATTTCATCAACCTTTTCCCCTTGCAACATCTTCTTATCTTGATTTCCAGGGCATTATACTCTTCATGTTTACCACCTACATCTCTGCTTCCATCTTCTTAGTCTGGTTTCTTTTTATAGTCATAGCCTCTAAATGTAGGAGTATCCCACAAAGTTCCCCTCTTTGTTCTCTGTACTTATAAGTGATTCCACCTAGAATATGTACTGATGACTCTCAAACTTAAAATGCTCCACTGACTAAAAGATTCATTCATATATCCAATGTCCACCTGACATCTCTACTTGAATGAAATCTAGAAACCAAAAACTTAATATATGCACAATATAATCTAGAAATTACAAACTTAATATATTCACAGCTGAGTTTCTGTTATCTTTCCCTTCACCCCCATACATAGAATTTCTGAAAATTTCCTCTCTCTACTTTTCAATTATTCAGACTAAAATAATGGGTATCATTCTTGATGACTTTTTTAATTTCTTATACCACATTAATTCTAGCAGCTAGTCCTATAAGTTTTATTTTCAATTCATATCTAAATTCTGACCAATTCTTTCCATTTGCACTGCCACCATCCTTAGATAAGCCATACTCATGTCTTACCTGGAAAACAGTAATAGTAACTTAACTGGTTTCCCAGATTCCATATTTGCCCAGCTGTAATTTATTCCCAACAGAGCAAACCTGGCAAGAAGTTAGATTTTATCACCCCCTGCTAACAACTCTCCAACAGCTTTCCATCTCACTCAGAGTGAAAGAAAATGTCTTACCATCATCTATAGTGAAAGAAAAAGTCTTACAATCATCTATGAAGTTCAACATTTTCTGGTCCCCCCCCTTTTTTTTTAACAATCTGATCTCATCTAGTACTGAATCTGTTGGCCACTCTGAGCCAGCCATTCTAGTCCTCCTCAGACACAGCAGTCATGCTGTCATATCACAGCCTTTGCACTCAGTATTTTCACTGTATGAAAAATTATTCCCCTCAACATCGATAGGACTTGCTCTCTTGCTTCCCTTGGGTCCAACTCATAAGCCATCTTTTCAGTGAGGGATTGCCTGGTCATCCTAGTAAACATTTTTGCTCACCTCTGACATATAACTTCCTTGCCTTCTTCAGTTTTTCTTTGTACCACTTAATTTTACCTAATATTACACACAGATGGGTTTCTTTTTCCTTAAAATCTGCTTTGTGCCCCCAAAATAGGTTCTTCCTAGTTGCTTCTACTTAGTGGTGTGCAAGAGATGGCATATATAGCCTCACAAGAGCAAACTGTTAAATTTTCAGAAATTTTATGAGCCAGCCCAGCCATTATGAAAAAAACAAATACTGTAAACATATTGTTAATGATTTTAAAAACAAAGGTAAAACCTAAAAACTAATCACTTTCTAAGAATTTCACTATATTTTACCATTTTCTATGATCTTGAAGTTATCTATGTCTATCTGTATGACAGAAATACTACATAAGAAAGTCTCATTATTTGCAGTAGTTAGGTTATATGAAGTTATAGTGAACAATGAATTAGTGGACACTGAACCATGCTGCTAGGGGAAGTTCAGAATTAGGTTTCTGCAAACCTGTAGTCAGGACCTTTTCTCAACTGATCAATACATAAGCTCGTTTTATATATGTTTCCATTTAGATACACCTATTTTATACATATTATTGATTCATTAACACTGAAGTCAAGGCCAGCAGCACTATAACTCATGTTTGGAAGAAGGTGATTATCTAATGCATGTATTTTCCATAAGGCATATCGCAGCCTTCTGCAATTAAGAACACTATACTGCATGTCAGCATTATGCTTGGAGACCATTTTAAACAGAAAAGCACCAAAAAAAGGCACAAAAGTGTGAAAAATATGGCACAAGGTTGCTTATGGTATGATAATTTAAATGAGAAGGTAGAGTGTTGTCTTATTCAACCTCAGCTGGGAACATGAGTATCAGGAAACTCAAGTTTTTGCCATTTTATGCATGTCTGTGAATGACCATGAAATGACCATAAACATTACTTTGGGGTAACAAATAAATTTTTAACCAGAAGTGTAATTCACACGTATAGAATACACAAATATTGAAGATTGACTGTGTAATGGTGAAAAACTGAACAATGTAAAATGCTTTCTAATTCTGCATTCAGTGACATCATATTGGTAGGTTTAAATTGGCCACGGTGGAAGTATGAACACCATAGGGCAAATACTATAAATAAAGGCCTTATTTATTGTTTGATTGGTTGTATAGACTCAATAAAATTATGAGAGAAATATTAATAAAAGTATGTTCTGCTTGCAACCATTACACTGTGAATAGCACAAACAACTAAGGCTCTCTTTTCCAGTATTTGAAAACGATTATTTAATCAGCAAGGAAGTCATTATGTTATTAAGAGCAAATGAGGGCCCAATGTATGTCTTTGCTGTTTTACTTTCATTTTGCTCATCAATGTAGACAAAAATATCAACCACCATCATTTCAGATTTATACTAATTTATCCATTGGAATGATAGGTTGGCTAGGGATTCAAGAATTCAGGAAAAATCAAGGAAAGAAAAGGTTGCTAGGGAATGCTTTGGCTATTTAAATTTACAATATAAATATTGCATATTTCATAATTATTTGTGAATTGCCTCATACATATTTTTCACATGAGTCGTAGTTTTTTTCAAAAAAGAGCTGAATATTAAACATTTATGAGAACAACATTGCTTAAAATATACTCTCAGTTTTAGATATCTAATATACTCCACTGTCTACAGAGTTGCCTCACCCTTTTCAAGAAGCCCTCTTTGAGAGGTCCTTTTTGTCATGAACCTGGGCTGGTTCCCTTCCATGTAGCACACGTATATGCCATGGGAAACACAATTTCTGCTCTGCTCCCAGTGGAAAAGCAGCTCTTTCCCAATGTATTCTTATCTTCTTATGGTCCACCTCTAGCTTGTAGACCAGCTCTTCATGCATTCACCAGGCATTAGTCTGACATTAGCCAAATATGCTCCCCAATCTCCAAGGGAAATAAATCATGCTTTCTAAGTGGCCTCCTTGAAGTCCTTCTTACATGACTTGAAATGAGGGGGAAGCACTTGCTCCCTTTTCTTATAGGAATGGGAGGGAAATATAGAACTAGGTTATACAATAATAAATATGGGGAGTACATAGCATATATAAACACTATTCACAATTCTAAGCTGATAAAATAGAAAATACTGATGGAATGAAAGAATTATTTTAATAGCACACTCAGGTCCATCACCATGTGATGCCCTGCACCACCTTGGAACCCTGAAAGAAAGTCCCACCAGCATGAAGGCTCTCATCAGAATGAAGGGTCTTACCAGATGTGGTCCCTTGAAGTTGGACTTCTCAGCCTCCATCACAACCCTATCAAGAAAGTGAAAAGGACCACAAAAATTTCATTCCAAGACGGCCAAATAGGAACAGCTCCGGCCCACAGCTCCCGGCGTGATCGACGCAGAAGACAGGTGATTTCTGCATTTCCAACTGAGGTACCTGGTTCATCTCACTTGGACTGGTTGGACAGTGGGTGCAGCCCACAGAGGGCAAGCAGAAACAGAGCAGGGCATTGCCTCACCTGGGAAGTGCAAGGGGTCAGGGGATTTCCCTTTCCTAGCCAAGGGAAGCTGTGACAGACTGTACTTGGAAAATTGGGACACTCCTGCCCAAATACCACAATTTTTCAAACGTCTTAGCAAATGGCACACCAGGAGACTATATCCAGCGCCTAGCTCAGCAGGTCCCAAGCCCACAGAGCCTTGCTTACTGCTAGAGCAGCAGTCTGAGATGGAACTGCAAGGCAGCAGCCTGCCTGGCTGGGGAGGGGTGTCCGCCATTGCTGAGCCTTGAGTAGGTAAACAGAGCAGGCAGGGAAGCTTGAACTGGGTAGAGCCCACTGCAGCTCAGCAAGGCATGTTGCCTCTGTACATTCCACCTCTGGGGGCAGGGCACAGCTGAACAAAAGGCAGCAGAAACTTCTGCAGGCTTAAATGTCCCTGTCTGACAGCTCTGAAGAGAGCAGTGGTTCTCCCAGCATGGTGTTTGAGCTCTGAGAAGAGACAGACTGCCTCCTCAAGTGGGTCCCTGACCCCCGTGTAGCCTAACTGGGAGACACCTCCCAGTAGGGGTAGACTGACACCTCATACAGGTGGATGCCCCTCTGAGACGAAACTTCCAGAGGAAGGATCAGGCAGCAATATTTGCTGTTGTGCAATATTTGCTGTTCTGCAGCCTCTGCTGGTGATACCAGGCAAACAGGGTCTGGAGTGGATGTCCAGCAAACTCCAACAGACCTGCAGCTGAGGGTCCTGACTGTTAGAAGGAAAACTGACAAACAGAAAGCAATAGCAAGAACATCAACAGAAAGGACATCCACACAAAAACCCCTTCTGTAGGTCACCAACATCAAAGACCAAAGGTAGATAAAACCACAAAGATGGGGAGAAACCAGAGCAGAAAACCTGAAAATTCTAAAAACCAGAGCACCTCTTCTCCTCCAAAGGATCACAGCTCCTCGCCAGCAACAGAACAAAGCTGGATGGAGAATGACTTTGATGAACTGACAGAAGTAGGCTTCAGAAGGTCGGTAATAACAAACTTCTCTGAGCTAAACAAGGGAGGATGTTTGAACCCATAGCAAGGAAGCTAAAAACCTTGAAAAAAGATTAGACGAATGGCTAACTAGAATAAATAATGTAAAGAAGACCTTAAATGACCTGATGGAACTGAAAACCATGGCACGAGAACAACGTGATGCATGCACAAACTTCAATAGCTGATTCAATCAAGTGGAAGAAAGGATATCAGAAATTGAAGATCAAATTAATGAAATAAAGCAAGAAAAGAAGTTTGGAGAAAAAAGAGTAAAAAGAAATGAACAAAGCCTCCAAGAAATATGGGACTATGTGAAAAGACCAAGCTACGTTTGATTGGTGTACCTGAGAGTGACAGGGAGAATGCAACCAAGTTGGAAAACACTCTTCAGGATACTATCCAGAAATTCCTCAACCTATAAAATCAGGCCAACATTTAAATTCAGGAAATACAAAGAACACCACCAACATACTCCTCGAGAAGAGCAACTTGAAGACACATAATTGTCAGATTCACCAAGGTTGAAATGAAGAAAAAAATGCTAAAGGCAGAATTATTTATTGGGTAAATAATCAAATGAAGGCAGAAATAAAGATGTTATTTGAAACCAATGAGACCAAAGACACAACATACTAGAATCTCTGGGACACATTTAAAGCAGTGTGTAGAGGGAAATTTATAGCACTAAATGCCCACAAGAGAAAGCAGGAAAGATCTAAAATTGACACCCTAACATCAGAATTTAAAGAACTAAAGACTCAAGAGCAAACAAATTCAAAAGCTAGCAGAAAGCAAGAAATAACTAATATCAGAGCAGAACTGAAGGAGATAGAGACACAAAAATCCCTTCAAAAAATCAATGAATCCAGGAGCAGGTTTTTTGAAAAGATCAACAAAATTGATAGACCACTAGCAAGACTAATAAAAAAGAAAAGAGAGAAGAATCAAATAGACACAATAAAGGAGATATCATCACGCATCCCACAGAAATACAAACTACCATCAGAGAATACTATAAACACCTCTAAGCAAATAAACTAGAAAATCTAGAAGAAATTGATAAATTCCTGGACACATACTCCCTCCCAAGACTAAACTGGGAAGAAATTAAATCTCTGAATAGACCAATAACAGGCTCTGAAATTGAGGCAATAATTAACAGCCTACCAACCAAAAAAAGTCCAGGACCAGACAGATTCATAGCTGAATTCTACCAGAGGTACAAAGAGGAGCTTCTACTGTTCCTTCTGAAACTATTCCAATCAATAGAAAAAGAGGGAATCCTCCCTAACTCATTTTATGAGGCCAGCATCATCCTGATACCAAAGCATGGCTGAGACACAATAAAAAAAAGAGAATTTTAGACAAACATCCCTGATGAACATCAATGCAAAAATCCTCAATAAAATACTGGCAAACCAAATCCAGCAGGACATCAAAAAGCTTCTCCACCATGATCAAGTCAGCTTCATCCCTGGAATTCAAGGCTGGATCAACATACGCAAATCAATAAATGTAATCCATCACTAAACAGAATCTTCGACAAAAACCACATGATTATCTCAATAGATGCAGAAAAGGATTTCAACAAAATTCAACAGTGCTTCATGCTAAAAACTCTCAATAAACTAGGTACTGATGGAATGTATCTCAAAATAATAAGAGCTATTTATGACAAACCCATAGCCAATATCATACTGAATGGGCAAAAACTGGAAGCATTCCCTTTGAAAACTGTCACAAGACAGGGATGCCCTCTCTCACCACTCCTATTCAAAATAGTGTTGGAAGTCCTGGCCAGGGCAATCAGGCAAGAGAAAGAAATAAGGGGTATTCAATTAGGAAAAGGGGAAGTCAAACTGTCCTTGTATGCAGATGACATGATTGTATATTTAGAAAACCCCATCGTCTCAGCCCCAAATCTCCTTAAGCTCATAAGCAACTTCAGCAAAGTCTCAGGACATAAAATCAATATGCCAAAATCACAAGCATTCTTACACACCAAAAACAGACAGAGAACCAAATCATGAGTGAACTCCCATTCACAATTGCTACAAAGAGAATAAAATACCTAGGAATTCAACTTACAAGAGATGTGAAGGACCTCTTCAAGGAGAACTACAAACCACTGCTCAATGAAATAAAAGAGGACACAAACAAATGGAAGAACATTCCATGCTCATGGATAGGAAGACTCAATATTGTGAAAATGGCCATACTGCCCAAGGTAATTTATAGATTCAATGCCATCCCCATCAAGCTACCAATGACATTCTTCACAGAATTGGAAAAAACTACTTTAAAGTTCATATGGAACCAAAAAAGAGCCTGCATTGCCAAGTCAATCCTAAGCAAAAAGAACAAAGCTGGAGGCATCATGCTACCTGACTTCAAACTATACTACAAGGCTACATTAACCAAAACAGCATGGTACTTGTACCAAAACAGAGAGACAGACCAATGGAACAGAACAGAGCCCTCAGAAATAATACTACAGATGTGTAATCATCTGATCTTTGACAAACCTGACAAAAAACAAGCAATGGGAAAAGGATTGCCTATTTAACAAATGGTGTTGGGAAAACTGGCCAGTTATATGTAGAAAGCTGAAACTGGATCCCTTCCTTACACCTTATACAAAAATTAATTCAAGATGGATTAAAGACTTAAATGTTAGACCTAAAACCATAAAAACCTAGATGAAAACCTAGCTAATACCATTCAGGAAATAGGCATGGACAAGGACTTCATGACTAAAATACCAAAAGCAATGGAAACAAAAGCCAAAATAGATAAATGGATCCAGTTAAACTAAAGAGCTTCTGCACAGCAAAGGAAACTACCATCAGAGTGAACAGGCAACCTACAGAATGGGATAAAATTTTTGCAATCTACTCATCCAACAAAGGGCTAATATCCAGAATCTACAAAGAACTTAAACAAATTTACAGGAAAAAAACAAACAAAAAACCCTATCAAAAAGTTGGCAAAGAATATGAACAGACACTTCTCAAAAGAAGACATGTATACAGCCAACAGACACATGAAAAAATGCTCATCATCACTGGTCATCAGAGAAATGAAAATCAAAACCATGATGAGATACCATCTTACACCAGTTAAAATGGCAATCATTAAGAAGTCCGGAAACAACAGATGCTGGAGAGGATGTGGAGAAATAGGAACGCTATTACACTGTTGGTGGGAGTATAGACTAGTTTAACCATTGTGGAAGACAGTGTGGTGATTCTTCAAGGATCTAGTGCTAGAAATAGCATTTGACCCAGTGATCCCATTACTGGGTATATACCCAAAGGATTATAAATCATGCTACTATAAAGACATGCACACATATATTTATTGCAGCACTATTCACAATAGCAAAGACTTGGAACCAACCCAAATGTCCATCAATGATAGACTGGATTAAGAAAATGTGGCACATAAACACCATGGAATACTATGTAGCCATAAAAAAGGATGAGTTCATGTCCTTTGAACGGACATGGATGAAGCTGGAAACCATCATTCTGAGCAAAGTATCACAAGGACAGAAAACCAAACACCACATGTTCTCACTCATAGGTGGGAATTGAACAGTGAGAACACTTTGTCACAGGGTGGGAGAGGTCACACACCAGGGCCTGTCATGGGGTGGGACCAGGGGGAAGGATAGCACTGGGAGAAATACCTAATGTAACTGATGGGTTGATGGGTGCAGCAGGCCAGCATGGCACATGTATACCTATGTAAGGAGCCTGCACTTTGTGCACATGTACCCTAGAACTTAAAGTATAATAATAAAAAAAAAGAAAATGAAAAAACAAAAAGGAATTATTTTAAAATATATAAACAAAGACTAGTGTAAAGGGTTATATAAAGATTCTATAGACAAATAACGAGATATGATTCATCTTTGAAGGGGGCTGCAGAACTAAATTGCTTTACTTGTGAACTACCTCAGCCCCCAATTAATAATCATGCTATAAATTCATCCAGGGGACAGAACATGATAGCAAATTAGTTACTGTTGTATGAAGTTAACAAAACTCATATTAAAACCTAGGAAAATGAAAAGAGTAAAATTATAGAATGATAGCACTCATGAACACAGATGGAGGTACTTTAAATAAAATATACCAAATAATTTCAATAATTTCTTAAAATAATTTTTATAAAGATGAAGTAATGTTTAATCCAGGACACATAATAATGACAGTGACAATTACAATGATGCTGATGATAGCTAAAATGTATTGGCCATTTACAATATGCCATATGTTATTTTAAGCATTTTATATATATCAAATCTTTTAATCTAAACAACAATCTATAGATTTTTTATTAATTTACAGATGAGAACTGAGTCCCTGAGAGGTAGAGTAACTTGTTGAAAGTCACACAGTCAATAAGTGCTGGAGTGGGTATTTGAATACAGCTTTCCAAGTCACTCTCCCATATTGAGTGAATATTAATACGTGTAAGAAAAAATGCATCATCTCAATAAGAAACATATTTGGAAATATTTTAACATTAATAAAAAAGCTTTGTAAGCCATAACCTTTAAAAACTAGACAAACGTAAATCTTCTTAATATGATTAAACATATCCCAAAGTAAAAGTTATGTCTTCCTTAATAGGGAAACACCAGGAGGAAATTCAAGACAAAGATGTTATCTAATTTCTAAAATTCCCTTATAGAAATATGGCAAAAGAGGGAAATAAAGAATTACAAATATTTGAAAGGGTACAAAATATCATTGTTTAAAAGCATATGGTTGTATACCCAGAAAATTCAAATTAACTGAGACAGATGTCTAAATATAAACATTTTGTATTTATCTACAATAACAATGATGATAATATGTCAACCACATGGAGCACATTCCAAATATTTAGAAATAACAGCCCTAACTAAAGATATATGAGGCTTATATAAAGTATGATTTTTTTTTTTGAGTTGAGAGAAAGAGAAATATATAAAGAGATTCTCAAATTCATTTTCAAAATAAACAACTACAAATAACTATTTAACAAAGAGTTACGGAAGTAACATTTTTATTCCTGCAAAGGCAACATGTTGTATAGCCACAAAGAATAAACCGACTTAAACTCAACAGAAGGTTAGTGGAATAGAATATATAACCCAGAAACATATCTCAGGATAATTGCTCTCAAGTCTCCAAGGGCGATCAATCAATGTTGCTTATAGTATCCAGATTCTGAGGTCCTACCTGAAGGTATTCTGACTAAGTCTGGCATTATTTACAAGTATTCAAGGTGATTCTGATGCATGTGGTTTATATTACTTTGATATGTAATAAAGCAAACATTATAAACCACAAAAATTTTCAATGATAGTAAGTTTTACTATTAAAGAGAAAAAATTCTCAAATTACTGAAAGTAAATAAAAGATGAAGAACTACACATAAAGAAGAAAACAAACTCATGTAAATATATATAACACCATGGTTCTTACACTTTATGCCAAGGCAACCTAGGGTACTGCTGTCAACTCAGAGGGGCACCATGAGATATTTTAGATTTTCAAGGTAAATGTAGCAGTACCCGACATCTCTTAGATACAATTCAAACTACTAACTCTAGGTACAGAGTTTCCTCATTAGATTGAGCTACATAGGTAAAATTGACATCATGTATTTTATTACAATAATTTCTGTGATAGAAGCAAACACAGAGTAAAATTCAATTTGTGTCAAGAAGTGAGAGCAGCAGTGTGCAATCTAATTCCAATGTTTGATAAATTTTGCAGTATCCAGTGGACACACATGTCCCATGAATAATTGCAGTTATGCAGAAATGAAACTAAAAAATGTTTTCAGTTTATGTGTATTTTTTCAAACAGATAATAAGTTGTTAGTAGGACATAAATAATTATTTAATTTTTTGGACCTAATTATTTAATAAACACTAGTAGTAGGCATTATTTTTTGGCTTAGGGGTACCCTAAAAGAATTACTGAAACACTAAGGGAATTGTAAACTAAAAACATTTGTATAACTTTAAGCAGAAATAAGAAATAAGTTTTTAATTAGTCTTTGTATGAGAAAGACCTAAGCAAAAGAAATAGTAATAAATTAATAACAAAACTAATATTTAGTTTTTACTATTTAAAATTCTGTTTACTATTTAAAATTCTGCACTTAAAGATTCATATAAATTATCCCATTTATTTATCACAACAATCTTTTGAAGTAGATTTATTTTAATCTCAATTGTTAAGATTTAGAGTAATTAACTTTCCCAAGTTATGGTTTGGTATAGCTAGCTGTTACACCAATCCAAGTACTGAACTATAGCACAACTCTACATGCAACAAATAAAACAAACTGTTAATCATATATAAAGTGCTCTCACTGGATGTCTAGAAAAGCACTAGAAAATACTGATAGAAAAAGAACTGAAATCTATCACTAGATAATTCACAAAAAATGCAGAAAAAGCCAGTACAGAAGAAAAAAATCCTTACTAGTAGTATAAAAATTTGAATTAAAACTGTAATGACTTCAACATGAGATTGTTACCCCCATAAAAGCAGCAACCATACACTTTTACCTCTGTTATCTATAAGGCATTGTTAGGTAATTTAAGAAAAAGAACCATCTACTTTTTTTACTTGGAAAGATTTAAAGATTTATTTTCTCCTGAAATAGTTATTGGGTGACTATAAATATCTAATGGAGTTAGTTCTTAGACACAGTGGAGAACCATACAGACATAGGCATGCCCTTGATGGAGATTAATGTCTGTGGATGCTAGCCATGTTGATTTGCACTGAGATGGGCATTGCCATGGATGGGAATGCAATTGGATTCAACCTTTCTAGGAGAAACTTTGACAATATATGATGAAAATCTTAAGATGGACTCACCCTCTCATTCCACTTTGAGGAATATTTCAGAATGACAGTGAAAAATTTGCTTTCAGGGATTTTTGTCACAGTATTATTTATTAGAGAAAAACTTTGAAAGCAACAATGGTCAATTATCAGTGAAGAATTAAGGGAATGCAATAATCTATAGAACAGAATATTAGGCAGTCAATCAACGAAAATCATATTTTTGAATAATATTTAATTGTATGTTTTAACAAAAGACCATGAGATCTACAGTGGAAGAGAAAGGAGAAAACTATTTTCAGAAAAGGAAACAATCCTGCAGATTGGAGGAATGCAATCTCTGGAGGAAACCAAAAGTACATGGTCTGAAGAATGGACAGGGAGGTTGTCATTTATGCCTTCAGTGCCTGTCTTAAAAGAAAGCTTATGAACAATTATGAGGACAGTTAAGTGAATAGGCAGTGTGTAGACATATATGTAACATACATTTTCATGTTTGAGATGAGGTCATAGCATTAAAATGGGATGGAATTTGGCTATGCCTGTCAAAAGGTATAAGCTGTCCCAAACTGCATGAGGTCTGCAGCTGTTTATCACGAAGGAGTGATCCTAAGGCAAGGCTGATCCTCTGTCCAAATGGAGTTATGGTAGAATTGCAAAGCAGGTGGGGTGATGGGATTCTCTCAGCTAGTGTCAGGCAGTCTGTTGGAGGTCAGTTGAAGAATATCCAGCTGTCTTAATTAGAGTGAAGAAAACCTTGTGATAATTATTAACACAGGAATATGTGGATGAGCTCCTCACCCTGGCTAAGGACATTTGGTTCTGTTTCAGTGTGTCTCATCTTAGCGACAGGGAGTGCATTTTGTCTGTCTGCTTGGGTATATTTTAACACATGGAAATCACACTTTGAGAAATAGCAGGGGAAAGCAGATATAGTAACTATTACCAATCAGTTTTTAAAAATCACTAAAACTCCAATAGGAAAAACAAAGGAGTGGGGGGACATGCAGTTGGAATCCAATACTAACATTAATATATGTACATATATACACACAGAAACACAGAACTAAAAAACTATTAGAATGTTCAAGATAGTTATATCTGGGGTGTTAGAGAAATTGAGACTATGGGTGATTTAAAATTTATAATTTGATACTACAGATTTTCTCCAATGTGTATGCACTGTTTTTATAATAAAGTAACTTGCATATAAACTATTGTGACCAATAACAATGAGAACTGACAAATATAAATGAGAAATCTATGGTGATTTTAAAAAGTAACACCATGGTAGTCAGTCAGTCAGTTAAGTACATGGTTTAAGGATTTCAAAGGTTACAAAATTAAGTTTGTAAAAGGCAGAATTATTTAAAATTAAAAGATAATTATTTATTTAATAGTTATGTCATTTTATTATTAATAAGGCATTGTATAAATCAGAAGCTAAGTTAATTAGACAATTTATATTATAGCTATCAACATTTTATTGAAGCATATTTAATTAGGTAGAGAGAATTCTCAGTTGGTCTCCAGTTCAGGGGACAACTAAAAGGAAAATATATACAGTTGACTCTAAAACAACATGGGAGGAACAGGTGACAAACACTGCACAGTTGAAAATCCACATATAATTTTTAACCCTTAAAACTTAAGCACAAATAGCCTATTGTTTACTCAGAAAACTTTCCAAAAACATAAACAATGAATTAACACATATTTTGTATGTTATATGTATTATATACTATATTCTTGTAACAAGGTAAGCTAGAGAAAAGAAAATGTTATTATGAAAATCATAAGAAAGAGAATATAAGCAAATAAATATATACTATTCATTAAATGAAGTGGATCATCATAACGGTTTTCCATCTAATTGTCTTTACCTTGGGTAGGCTGTGAAGGAGGAGGAAGAGGTGGAGTTGATTTTGCTTTCTCAGAGGTGGCACAGGTGAAAGAAAATTCACATATAAGTGAAACTGTGTAGCTCAAAACTACATTGTTCAAGGGTCAACTGTGTATACAGTTATGTCTCACTTAATGATGGGAATATATTCTGAGAAATGCATTCTCAGGCAATTTCATTGTTGTGTGAACCTCATAGAGTGTACTTATAGGAGCCTAGATGGTATAGCCTACTACACACCTAAGCTAATGGTGTAGCCCATTGCTCCTAGGCTATAAGCCTGTATGGCATATTACTGTACTGAATACTGTATGCAATTGTAACACAATGGTATTTGTGTATCTAAACATCAAAAAGGTACAGTAAAAATATGGAATAAAAGATAATAATGAAATAATTATATTGGGCACTGTAATATTATGAAATATGTGTTTGGTCTTCCTCCGTGTTTTCTGGTATGCAACTCCTAAAATCCTTAGAATCTCAAAAATGAGATCTTTTTGTATTCTGATGAGTTGACTGATGGCTATCAGCCCCTAGGTAGCTTCAGGAAGTAACTAGTCACAGAAAAATAATGGCATGATTAGAGGGTTGGAACTTTTTGCTCCCCTCTACCCTTTCATTCCCTGGTATTGTTTGGATTTGTGCCCCTGCCCAAATCTCATGTCAAATTGTAATCCCCAATGTTGGAGGAGGGGCCTGGTGGGAGGTACTTGGATCTTGGGGCGGACTTCCCCTTTGCTGTTTTTGTGACAGTGAGTTCTCATGCAATCTGGTTGTTTAAAAGTGTGTAGCACTACCACCTTCACTCTCTTCCTCCTGCTCTAGCCACGTAGGACATGTCTGCTTCCCCTTTTTCTTCTGTCATGATTGTAAGTTTCTTGAGGCCTCCCCAGCTATGTTTCTTGTATAGCCTGTGGAACTATGAGTCATTTAAAACTCTTATTACCCAGTCTCAAGTAGTTCTTTATAGCAATGTAAGAATGAATGAATATACCCCCAAACCCCTATCCCCATCTGTAGGGAGAGGAGTGGGAGCTGAAGGTTAATTTGATTGTGAATGGGGAAAGATTTAATCAATCATGCCCACATAATAAAGCTTCTATAAAACCCCAAAAAGACAGGGTTCTGAGGTTCTCAGAGTTTGCAGACAGGCGAAGATGTGGAGGTTCCTGGAGGGTGGCGTGCCCTTTTCAACACACATCATATTATGCATCTCTCTTCATCTGCATCCTTTATGTCCTTTAATAATAAGCCAGGAACCATAAGTAAGTGTTTACCTGAGTTCTGTGAGCCATTCTAACAAAGTAATTAAAACCAAGGAGGGAATCATGGAAACTTTGATTTATAACCAGGTGATCTGAAGCACAAGTAAACAGCCTGGGGAATGTGAATTGTCATTAGAAGTAGGGGAGCAGTCTTGTGGGACTGAGCTTTCACCCCATGGGATTTGAGGGTATCTTCAGGTAGATAGTGTCAGAATTAAACTGGAAGAGAACCAGCTGGTGTTCACTTCAGAATTGATTGCTTACTTAGTGTGTAGGGAAAAATCTCCACATATTTGTCACAGAAGTCTTCTGTGTTGATTGTTGTAGTGTAAGAACACAGGAAAAGCTGCTTGGTTTTTCTTCTTTTCAGGAACTTAACTATAAATAGAGCTTGCAAAATTGGAAGCTGCCCTGGTTGAGTGAATGAGTGAGTGGTGAGTGGATGTGAAAGCCTAAGGACATTACTGTACACTACTATAAACTTTATAAATACTGCACACTTAGACTACACTAAATTCATTTTAATTTTTTATTTCTTCAATGATAAATTAGCCCTTGTCTACTGTAACTTTTAACTTTATAAACTTTTTAAGTATTTTAACTTTTTGACTCTTTTGTAATAATACTTAGCTTAAAGTACACGTTGTATAGCCATACAAAAATATTTTCTTTTTTAATACTGTTCTTCTATAAGCTTTTGCCGTATTTAAGACTTTACTTTTTCACCTTTTAAACTTTTTTCCTGAAAACTAAGACTGCAAAATACACTTTAGCCTAGGCCTACATAAAACTGACTTTGCAAAAATTATGTCAGAGAAATCCAGTATCAACATAACTGACTCCATTTGGTTTCTAACCTCACAAGCTAACTGTCCTGGGCCTAGGCCAAGCTAACTATGGGAATAATTTAGTTCACAGTTTAACTTTAAAGCTAGATGATAATAGTCCCTTCCCAAAACTAACCCCCTCTTTATTCAGGAACCAAAATTACCTTTGTAAATCTAATGAAAGTTTGCAAGTTTGGAATTATGGGAGAGGTCTGAATTCTGCTAGGACCTATACATACTTAAGCAATAACCAGCCATTGTACCATAGTTTGCTTACTGCTCAGGAGTCATGTAGCTAGAGGTCACAAGATTTGTAACTTCTCCAATTGCTCCTATAGATAATATCACTATTCTCAATATTTAAGATTGGTCTTTGAGATTTTATCAGACTTGTGCATTCAGGCAGACCAATTGAGGCCATCCAGCCCCACCACCTGGACCCCCAAGATTCATACGAAGAACTGATTCAACCAGTCTCATGACCCCTCCCCACCCAGAAACTGACTTAGCACCCAAAAACATTTTGGACACTCCTATGATTCCATCACCAAACAATCAGCAGCACCCATTCCCTAAGCCCCTGCCCACCAAATTATTCTTAGTAACACTAGACTCTGAGCTTTTGGGAAGGCAGATTTGAGAACTATTTCTTATCCTTCCACTCAGCTGCTTTGTGATAATTAAACTGTTTGCTGCAACACCACTGTCTCAGTGTATTGGCTTTTTGGTGTAGCAGGCAAGAAGAACCCATTAGGTTGTAATTTACTGCATTAGTCTATTCTTGCATTGCTATAAAGAAATACCTGAGACTGGGTAATTGATAAATAATGGAGGTTCAATTGGCTTATGGTTCTGCAGGCTATACAGGAAACATGGTAGCATTTGCTTCTGTAGAGGCCTCATGAAGCTTACAATCATGGTGAAAGATGAAGCAAGAACTTGCACATCACATGGTGACAGCAGGAGCATGAGAGAGAAGGGGGGAGATGCCATATACTTTTAAACAACCAGATCACACAAGAGCTCACTCAGTATCACTAGAATAGGACCAAGAGGGTGGTACTAAAGCATTCATGATAAATCTACCCCCATGATTCAATTACCTCCCCCAATGCCCCACCTCCAACATTGAGGATAACAATTTAATATGAAATTGGGAAGGAACAAATACCTAAACTGTAACATTCTGGACCTGTCCCCCAGCAAATCTCATGTTCTTCTCACATTTCAAAATACAATCATGCCTTCCCAATAGTCTCCCAAAGTCTTAACTCATTTCAGTATTAATTGAAAAGTTCAAACTCCAAAATTTCATCTGAAACAAGGCAAGTACCTTCTATCTATAAGCCTGTGAAATAAAAATCAAGTTACTTACTTTCAAGATACAATGGTACTATCAGCATTGGGTAAACATTCTCATTTCAATAGAGAGAAATCATCCAAAAGAAAGGCCCCACACAGGTTCAAAATTCAGCAGGACTGTCATTAGATCTTAAAGCTCCAAAATAATCTCCTTTGACTCTATGTCCCACATCCAGGGTACACTGGTGCAAGCAGTGGGCTCCCAAGGCATTAGCAGCTCTGCCTTTGTGGCTTTGCAGGGTATAGCCCTGAGGCTGCAGTTAAGTCTCTGTGGCTTTTCTAGCTGCAAGATACAAGCTGCTGATAGATCTAACCATTCTTGGGTCTGGAGGACAGTGTCCCTCTTCCCACAGCTCTGCTAGCCAGTGCCCCAGTGAGGACTCTGTGGGGAACTTTAGCCCCACATTTGCCCTCTGCACTGCCCTAGTACAGTTCTCTGTAAGGGCTCCACTCCCACAGCAGTTCTCCACCTTGGCACCAGGCTTTTCCATATATCCTCTGAAATCTAGGTGGAGGCTCCTAAGCTTCAACTCTTGCACTCTGTGCACCCACAGGCTCAACATCACATGGAAGTCACCAAGACTTATGGCTTGCATCCTTGTGAGCTGTGGCTTAAGCTTTACCTGGGCCCCTTTGAGTGAAAGCTAGAGCCTGAGTGGCTGGGATGCAGGGAGCAGCTTCTTGATGCTGTACCAGGCAGTGGGGTCCTGGGTATGGCCCATGACCATTCTTCCCTCCTAAACATCTGGTCTTGTAATGGGAGGGCCTGCTGCAAAAGTCTCTGAAATGCTTTCAAGGTCTTTTTCTCATTGGCTTGGCTTTCAGCATTTGCTTCTTTTGTAGTTAGGCAAATTACTCTAGCAAGTGGTTGTTCAGCAGCCCATTTGAATTCTTCTCCCAAAAATGCTTTTTATTTCTCTTCCAAATGGCCAGGCTGCAAATTTTCTAAACTTTTAAGCTCTGCTTCCTTTTAAATATAAGTTTCAACTTCAAGTCATTCCTTTGCTTCCACATCTAAGCATAGGTTGTTAGAAGCATCTAGGACACATCTTCAACATTTTTCTGCTGAGAAATTTCTTCTACCAGATATCCTAGATAATCATTCTCAGTTCAAACCTCTACAGACCCCTAGGGCATGGATATAATGCAACCAGATTCTTTGCTAAGGCATAACAAAAGTGAACTTTACTCCAATTCCCAATAAGTTTATCATGTTCATCTGTGACCTCATCAGCCAGGACTTCATTGTCCATATCAATAACTATTAGCATTTCGGTCAACTATTTAACAAGTCTTGAAGAGGTCTTTTCCTCATCTTCCTATCTTATTCTGAGCCCTCCACACTCTCTCAATCTCTGCCTGTTACCCAGTTCCAAAGCTGCTTCCACATTATCAGGTGTCTTTAAAGCAATACCTCACTTCTGGTACCAATTATCTGTATTAGGCCATTCTCACATTGCTATAAAGAAATACCCCAAGACTGGGTAACTTATAAAGAAAAGAGGTTTAATCGGCATATGGTTCTGCAGGCTATACAGGGAGCATAGTGACGTTCTGCTCCTGAGAAGCCCTCAGGAAGCTTATAAGCATGGCAAAGGTGAATAGAGAGCAGTCATGTCACATGGCAAAAGCAGAAGCAAGAGGTGCCATGTAGTTTTAAAAACCCAGATCCCAGGAGATCTCACTCATTATCATGAGAACAGGACTAAGGGGACGGTGCTAAACCATTCATGAGAAATCCACCCCCATGATTCAGTCATCTCCCACCAGGCCCCACCTCCTACATTACAGATTAAAATTCAGTATGGGATTTGGGCAGGGACACATATCCAAATTATATCACATACACAAGGTCAGGATCATCAATATCATATAGGCCACATAACAATGTTTAAGTCAATGATGAACTGCATATAAAAAAGTAGTCTCATAAGATTATATTCAAGCTGGAAAATATTATTGAATATTTTCTCCAGAGATTAAGACCTTTTCAACCTTTTGCGAAAGATAAGAGCAATATCAGAATGGACATAGTAAAGTTCCTGAGTAGTTTATTCAGGATTACTCCTGAGCAAGACAAGATCACAGGCAAGGAGCTTGAGAATGAAAAGCCACCAATTTAAATTAATGCACCTGGTAGTAACACATTTACAGGGAGGGGTTGTGAAGAGAATAAATAACATCAGGAACCCTGTACAGCTTTTGTGTCCTGAGTTACAGTAGAACAATTAGAGAAAGACACATTTTAAGGATGTCCTAGGCACAGCTTTAGACAGTGGGCTAAGGAAAAAGCAGCAAGTCCACAGGGCAGAGGTAGCTCAGAATCTTTAACAATGAATGAGATGAATCACAAATAAGTCAGGCCCAACACAAACAATTTCAAACTGAAATAAAAGACATAATTTTTTGTGTTTACTATCTGGAAAAATATGGCATTCCACCTAAGTTCTTCTAGTTGAACTAGAATAAACGGCACTTATTATCATTTCTAATTATGAGGCACAACATTGAAAATACTCCATTTCCTTTATTAAAAATAAATTCCTAAATCTTCTTCTATATTAATTTTCATTTATTTATATATATATTTTACTTTATATCAAGTCTTTCTACAATACCAATACCACCACCATCGTCTCCATCCTGCCCATTCCTACCACTGCATTTTGCCATGTGAGTCTAAGCTTAAAATAAAATCTGTTAAAATATTAATCATTCTGATAGAAAAATATAACAAATATGCTAAAAGGTAGAAGATAATGCTATTCCTTGCAGAGAAAGTTCAGGGCATAGGTGATATAAAATAATCTAGGAATGGAAAACAAAGAGATAATATGTTTATTACATAGAAGTCCATCTCACACATGTATCCACAAATAGATTGGGGTTTTATTTTAAACAATAAAACGTCGTTAGTCAAGAGTGTGAAATGTGATATACAAAATGGCGGCACTCTGATTCAGAGCTGTAAATAAGAGTCAGGAAGCCATTCTAAGAAGGACTGCCCTCAGGTTAAAAAAAAAAAATTACCTTGATTACCTTGCGCCTTTGAACTGGGTTAAACTGTAACTACCACAACATCCTGGAAAACAGCTAAATTTCGCCAGTGCCACAACGCCTAAACAGCAACAACCAATGAACTATGGACTTATGTACTAAGACAGCTGCCTCCACAAATAATTTTTCCAAAACAACTTGTGTAATCATCTTCAGCTTCCTTTCGATTTACTCCTAAAAATTCCATTTCCCTCCTCTTTGTTGGAATATAATTTGGTTTCTACATGAATCTGTGACTCCTGAATTGCAATTCCTAAGTCCCCAATAAATGCCTTTTCTTACTGCACTGCATTCTGGTCTTTGGCCTCTTTTAGGATGACAGAACAAATGAGCTCTCAAAACAAGCCAACAAGATATTGAAATATAGAAGAATAGAAACAAAGAAAAGGAATAATACTCAATCTTGCTTGATAGATTATTTTTCTAGAATACTGTGCTTCTCTTAAAGGTAAAAATTGGCTTGTAAATTATGATTTCATTTTTCTGCAATACTTTTTTGTATGTTACATTGGATTGTAAGAATTTTCTTTTTTTCTTTTTGTTTTATCAGAAGTTCCTAAAAAGAATTTCTTTATTCATTCTACCTCATAGACTTGATTAAAAACACTTCTCTATAGCTGCCTCTAACACTTAGTCTCCTTTTAGAATTCATATTCTGGCTTCCTCTTCTTTTATTTTTTAGTATTTTAAGAGTTCTTTTTTTTCTACTTATCTACCTCTCTATTTCCTTTTGTGCCTGGTGCTTTATTAAACAGTCTATTTTTAAATTTATGGCCTATATCTAAAAGGTTGCCAATAATTTTTCTACACCTAAATTCCAAAGAATAACCTAGATAAAGCTTATCTTGGACATAACCCCTGTTTTAAAACAATAGCTCTCAATTGCAACAGTTTTTTGATCAATTTAGTTGTGGAAAAATACAGATTGTAACATTCTGTGTTGTTTTTTACAGTTGGTTTTAGGACTGTCTATAACCTTTTATCCAAGTGGAAATCTTCAGAGTTTACAGCTCAAACTGTTTCGGGAGGAAGTTAAAAATGAAATGGTGATTGCATGCATTTTAAATACACTGATTTATTAACAAATAGGAAAAAATTTTCAGAAGAGGAAAAATAACAAGGAAAACAATACTGAGAATTTTGTGTAGTTCTTAAGCCTTTCATGTTCATTTTCCAAAATCAATACATTTTCATTCAGTGGATTCTATATTTTTTTCCACTGGGTAAAAGATCTTCGTTGTATTCTTCAGAAATTATACAAAAATAATATATTTCCTTAGGTCTCTTGTGCTTTTAAATATAAAGAGAGGTAGAGATTGAATAAGAAATTATCCGGTGAATAGAAATTAGGTATTCAAATATCCAAATATGGTTTGAAAAATAAATTAACCTCAATTGTTTTCAGAGATGTTAACCATCATAGCTGCAAATTACAGCAAAATACTAGAAACCATTGTTATTACTGAAAAATCGATACATTCCTTTGTTAGTTCTTAATATAATAATAAAACATTTTAAAAATTATTTTCATTGTAGCAAGTTATATTACTGCTTGGTTGATTGACTATAAGACTTCTTCATTAGTCAGATAAATTATATCCCAAAAGTTAACAAATAATTTCATCAGAGGCAATGTAACATACTTAAGCAAGCCGACAAATGCATGTTTCACTCATAATGTTTTTAAAATAAAATTTTATTTCATAAAAATATACAGAAGAATATTATTACAGCACTATAGTTAAAAGAGTAAAACAGTAACACTAAAAATAAGTAACAAAAGTGGCTACAGTTATTTGAGGAGATAAATGTAAGACTCATAAAGATTCTGAAAACAACATATGGGTAAGTTTATGGGTTTGAGGAGTTGATGGCATTTATTTTCTTATTATGACTAAATTTATTTAAAATTCATGTTTTGTTTTAATTTTTATTAGCTTTTGCAAATAAATTCCACCTTCCCCCCATCTCAATGAACCATACCTTCTAGTACTCATGCCCCTGGGCAGTCCCTTCCAACCCTGATTTTGGGATGATGCTGTGTAACAAATAGAAAGCAGCAGAAGAGATACTCAATGACCTCTAAGGTCAGGTTATAAGAAGCCATGCAGATTTTGCCTTGGTCTTTTAGAATACTTGCTCTGTGGGAAGCTAGTGCTAAGTAAGAAGCCCAATCACTCTGAGGCTGACATGCTGAGAGCAAGCTCAAATCGGCCAAGCTGGACAGGCCATGTAGAAAAGGAAGGAGAGAGGCATATGGGGGAGAGGGAGGGCTGAGGGCAGGAGGGAGAGAGAGAAAACTTGCCAGCTCCCAGCTGTTTGAAACTTTTCAGCTGAAAAGTCAGTTATGTATAATAAAATGCTCACTTGGATATCCACCCCAGTTTAGCCCTCAAATAACTCCAGTTCTAGACACCATTTCACTGTTACTGATTGAGAGGCTCCAGGCAAGAACCTCCCAGCTGAGCTCAGTGAACCCACACTCCATGAAAGATAATAACAAATTGTTGTTTTAAGCCACTAAGTTTTGTTGTTATAAAATACAGAACAAGAATAGTTTTCCATTCTTAAAGGTATAGCACCAACACTAAATTGCTTTCATCAGCTAAGATTAAATGGGCATAAAGAAAGGAAAATATTTTCCTTATTGGCTATGCAAAAGGGAAAAGGAAAAGTGATTGTCAATATGTGATGACTTATTTTCTGAGTGATTTAATTACTGTCTAGACAGTCCTAAGGAACCATTTAAAGGATACAATGTTGACAAACTGGTATCTAAAACATTAAAAAGTCTCTATTTTGGAAATTAATCTTTTTGATTTATAATTAGCAATTCCAAAACTTTTTAGTAAAGACCTGTAGAGTAATAACAAAGGCATAATAATATTATATTCTATAATATTCTCTATGTCAATGACAGGTCATAGATAACCAACCAAATATATTTGTTTATGTATGCAAATACATATCTTAATGTAGTCATTTTTCAACACAAACATAATCCTGCACCCTAGAGAGATTTTAATGCAGTTCATAAAATTGGAATCAGAAGATTCAATTTAGTCCAACCTTCTTTTTGGGGGGACTGTGGCTTTATCTGAAAAAAATTGTAGTATTACATGTTGTATTTGAACATAAAATTAAATTCAGCTATCTCAGAGGACAAGTTCAGATTTAATAAAAATAAATGTGACTGCTCATTCATTCAAAGAAACACACTCATTTTCCTACAGATGCCTCAGTAAAGAGAACACTAATCTAATTATAGTATTTAAAAAAATAAATTGTCTTTGTGCTTGCTATAAAATAAACAACACAGCTGCAGGGCCTGCCGAGCTTTACTTATTAAAGAAAATACCTTTTGATGATTAACAAAGGCAGATTTGTTTGAAATATGAATATGCTCACTAGAGTCTCCTGGATGGACGGGATTTTCAAAAAGGGAGGATTTCAATGAAATGAGGAAAATGTAAACCTAGATAATTAGTTAGATACCTTTTGCTCCCTTTTGATTTACAGTATTAGCAGGGGCAAAAGTGGAGGGTAAAAAAGAACAAATAATCAAGAAAAAATATGATATTGGCTTCCTAAAAACCATCTCTAATTCTTTTTCGGCACAGAACTTTTATATTAAGACCCTTTCAGTAAAATGACTCAGTCACTGTAATAATTTACAGAAGGTATTGCCTAAGTCAGGTGCTGAAGGATTTGGCTTTTAACCTGGGGTGAGATTTATCTACAGTTCCTTGAGCAAGTAGCTTTCACCTGTGCTTACCACTCTGGGATTGTTAGCACAATAATAATGGGAAAGCTTCCTATCAACTGGGCATTTGGCACAAATTCTACTTGGATATCATCTAAACTGGAACACTTTTGAGAATGAAGAGGGACTATTAATAATTAATTAATTAATAATTATGTTGAGGCAAGGTATAAATTGTCACTGACTCACACAAACTGAGATATATGGTCACCCTACATAAAGAAAACATTGTCAGTCATTGGCAGGGTCTCCCTGTGTCTAATACTGTAGGACCAGATAAGTATACAGAAGAGGGTTCACTCCTTTGAAGTCTGACAATTCATTAGTGGCAGAATTAAACACAGGTCTCCTAGTGCTTTTCCAAAACAATGGAAAACAGAGCCAAAGACCCCCACTACCAGTCTACCTAAAAGCTTACTATTAGAGCGGTTTCATTGATTTTTGGATACACATTACAAAAGATCCTGAAAAATATAAATGTTATCACTGAGTGCTTCTATATTAGGCCAACAGCAAAAATAACTCAGCCAAGGGAAATTTATCATATTAACAACCTATTACCTTGGAAAACAAAGAGTCCCAAGGAAATGAATCAAGGACAGGCATTTTTTGGTGAGAGTATCCATGTCAAAGGAAATGTCCAGAGCACAGGAAGGCACCACAGAAGTGGCAGGGTAAACACAAGAATGGCTATAATAAAAGCCATTTCTCATCTCATACAGCCTACCAGCTACCTTAGATTAGCTCTCCTCTAAACCCAAAGAGCAACATTTCCACAGCAGTATTTTTTATTGTTGTTGTTTTACAGCTATCCACATTTGTTTTCTTGTCCTTATCTCATATTTTCTTACCAGAGTTCATAGACCATAACAAATCTCCCCTATAAATACTTGAATTTCATACAGCATATGTGCAAGTGTGAATTTTAAAAATGAAACAAATTGCAAATATACTCTACTTCTTCAACTATAATGGTGGGCTTATCATGATGCTCTCTTATGCTCCCTTAAATATCTTCAAGTGGGAGAGTCTACTCTGGGGAAATAGTGAAAACGCAGAAGGAAGTAATACACACAGCTCGGCCTAGTAGACCTGGAAAAAGGCATGCAACGACGTATAATTAGGCCTTAATTCAAGATGCCTAGCAGGTGTGTCAAATGGGTTATTTTTCCTTACCCCTACTGTGATGTTACGTAATACTCCACAAGACCATCGTTACTTTTGACACCAACTCTAAGTTTGGAGGTCCTCAAGACCGCCTTAGTTTCCATAATTCACTACAAGGACTCACAGAACTCACTGAAAGTATTCTACTGACAGTTATGTTTCATTACAGTGAAAGGATACAGATTAAAATTACCCAAGGGCAGAGACACATAAGGCAACTTCAGGAACATTCCAAACATGGAACTTCCAGTTGTACTCTCCGCGTGCAGTTATGGACAGCATTAATTCTCCCAGCAACAGAATGTAATAAAACACATGGCATATTGTCCACCAGTGAATCTCACCTGAGCCAGAGTTTTTAGTGACGTCCTATCATGTAATACTGACATGGTTGGTTGGACACGTGGCTGATCTCAGTCTCCAACCTCTCTGGAAGTCTAGCTGATACCACAGATCACATTATAAGGTTGCCTAGTATGGCCGAAGCCCCCAGGTAAACCAAGATATTTTTATGAGGCATTGTATCCATCCAAGGGATTAGAGATTACCGTGTAGGACCTGAGGGCAAAAGCCAGACCTGTCATTGGACAAGGTTAAATTATCTATTGCACTCACCTGTAAGCGATATTGCTGAAATCCTGTTTCTGGGCTCTGCATTGACACAGATATGCTATCCCTTCTCCTACCCACCACCTACACATGCATTCACTGCTTGTCCTTGTGTCTTTATTTTTTTGATGCCTCTAAACTTGGTAAGCTTGTTCATAAACTACAGCTCTAATTTCTAAAATAAATAATTAGTCTAGTTTATCATCATGTGTTGGTATGAGAATTTGCTAGTAGCCCCTTTATGGGCACAGCCCTCTCCCAATCAGCTGTGCCCAAGAGAAATAGATGACTGGTATTTAACCAATGCCACTGTCATAAGTATTGTCTTAAATGCTGGCATTTCCATAATAAAACTTATGCTTGTCATGAAATACAGGTAGAGTATTCCTACCTCTGACTCAAAATTTTTGGGACTGAAAATACTTCAAATTTTGGATTTTTTCAGGTTTTGGAATATTTGAGTTATACTTACCTGTTGAGCATATCTAATCTGAAAATTCGAAATCTGAACTGTTTCAGTGAACACTTCCCGTGAGCATCATGTTGGCGCTCAAAAAGTTTCAGAATTTGGAGAATTTTGGATTAAGATGCTCACCATAGTTGATTTGTTGGTGCCAGGTATCAAGAACCCAGTGTGAACAGCACCTAAACTTAATAATGATAATAAAGAGTAGTTTAATTTTCAAAGTTTACATGAAAACTTATATCATTTGGCTTCATAGCACACTATTGACTGCTTGGCTTTGAAACTTTTCTAAGTGATATTTACAACCTATGTTTGCCACTGAGGTTCAAAATTTTGCCAATTCAGGACCAATAATGCTTTTGTCACTCAGCAGGTATAATACATACATTTTAATTGCCTTTTACAATGAAAGGAATATAAACTGTTATGTCTTACGAAATGTCAAAAGTAACATTTGCTTTATTTTATAATGATACAAAATGGGTAACCTAGTGTTATGGACTGAATTGTTTGCCCCCACCCCACGCCCCACAATTTTTATGTTAAAATCCTGTTCCCCAATGTGGCTGTCTTGGAGTTACGGTTTATAAGGAGGCAATAAAGGTTAAGTGAGATCATATGAGTAGGGCTCTAATCTGATACAAATGGTTTCTTTATAAGAAGAGCATGAGACATCAGAGCTCTCTCTCCCTGTAATGTGAGAACACAGCAAAAAGATGGCCATATGTAAGCCAGAAATACAGTCTTTTCCAGAAACTGAATCTGCATTTCAGTCTGGGACTTGTAGCCCCCGAACTGTGAGAAAATAAACGTCTGTTGTTTAAGCCCCCCAGTCTGTTGTATTTTGTTATAGCAGCCCAAACTAATACATCTGGAGTTACGATGAAATAAATAACTGAATAATCAAACGAATGACTTTATTGAATATGAACTTAATAAATAAATGAATACATACAAAAGATATTTAGCACAAAAATAGGGATTTGAACATATTGCAAGCTCAGAAAAATCATTTTCACTCTTAAAGATAAACTCAATATTTCCCATTGAAGTATCTATGAATTTAGTAAGGCTTTTATTTGATTTAGGCCTATAAAATTTATGTAATTTTTTATCATAAACATAATAAGATATTTTGTGAAGACAATTGGAAATTTTCATTTACCATACATTCTGAATGAGACTGAAGCAATCTGAAGATCAAAAATCAGTGAAGCAGCAGAAAGCATTAGTGAGTGAGAACAATTCACCTATGACCATCTGGCCCACATTCTGAATTCAAGAGAGTCCACAAGTCTATAAAAATGTCATGCATGAACTTTCTTTAATGGTCATTTTTTTTACTACTATATATATTAATTTTCAATTGTACTTCAATAGGGCATTAGTGATAACAAGTTAAACAAATCTAAGATCCTAATGGATATATATCAGAGGCTTATTTTTCATATTTAAAGGTAACATCAAATTTATATCACATTGTTCAGGAATTCACTTATTTATTTCCCATACTTTATGGGTGCTGTGATGCCTCAAAAAATTTCATATTAGCTAGGATCTCCTGCTAGGAAAATCATACGGTGGTTATGTTAATTTGCATTTCTCTACTATAGATATTTAGCTTTGTATTTTTGTGTCACTGTATATATTTTCATCTATTTTACAAAACCTCCTCACTGACAGGAGAGAAATGGAGTGGAGAAGAAAGATCATGACCTGATATTTCAATACAATTTGCATACAGCTACAGATAATAGAAATGGCCTGGAATTATTTTAAGAGTGTCTAGATAGGTGTTCTGATACAAGAATCATACCTACAGAACACCATCATTACATTTAAAAACATCTATGTCCTACCTCTCCTCTAACCTCCTAGACCAGAACTGATCTAAGAGGGCTGAGGTCACTGTTCAGTGGTCAGGAGAGATGATGAAGCCAATTGGCTTTTTCACTTGCTTTGAAACTGGAAGATTTATGAGGGCAAAAACTTGGTCTCTTTTGTTCTCACTTTAATCCCAGAGCCTATATTTGCTCAGTGCATACCGTAATTATTCAATAAATATTTGTTAACTCATTGGCTGGAAGAAAATGAGACAAAATGCCATCCCTACTGCTGTGAGAGGGAAAAGGAAAGGAAATAAACTACATTGTTGAGACTTCCCCACATAAGTCAGCTCCCTTCTCAGTTGGAAACAAATCTTCTCAGTTAGAAAATCTCTGAGAAACAGCTCAGGAATAAGTGGGTCACATATGACGGATTACCAGTTTTTGAAGGCAGAAAACGAATAGACATCTTCTCTGTAGTTTTCTACATCCTCCTAGAAAAAAACAAGGGAGGCACTGAGGTGGAGCCCCCTTAGTAGAGGCCAGAGTCACATGGGTGTAGAAGGCACTTCCAGCATTGGACTAAAGAATGGGGCCTTGCCCTCTGCTGAGCCAGAAAACAAAACATTTTTGGGTCTTGGAACACTGTGGCTTCCTTGCCAGAGTTTTCTCCAAAGTTACCCATTGTGCCAGCAGAGATGGCAGAAGAGGGAACTCTTCACTTATCTGACATTTGGATACGATCTTTTCCAAGGGATCCAGTCATAGAGAGGAGAGACATGGAAGTAGGCAAGAAAGCTTTCGGCCTGCTCTTGAAGGCTACTGTACAGGCAGGAGGTGACCATACAGCTTCCGAGTAGATGAAAATTCTGAATGAAACGGCAAACATTACTTAGGAATACTGAGCACGCAAACAAGATGGTACCTCAAAACCAACTTTTGATGTCATTATAATTAAAATGGCTCTGATATAAAGTTTCTATATAGAAGGGGCTTTGGGCACAACAACCAGAATGCAAGAATTAAAGCCATGTTTGAATAATAATAATATTACATTAAATTCTATAGATAAAGTAATAATAATAATACTTACATTAAATTTTATACATAAAAAAGTAATCTAAAGATGCCTCCACAGGCACTTGTACAATGTTGAAGAAATGTGGATTCTCCTCTACAAAGAATGCTATTTTATTTCTTTGGCATGAATTGACCCAGTAATGATGCTGCTGCTGATTACTTATAATAAAAAATGATTGCTGTAAACAATGAGCTTTCAGATGGTAATAAAAATCATAGTTAGAAGCAAGTCCACTGAGAACCAGAAGTGACATGTGGGAACAACTTCCAATTAAAATCTCTTAGAAATCAAGATTAAGCATCACTAGTGTTATGGCAGAAGTCAAAGTAAAAGAGTGGTTTCATTGATACACTGCTTTCTCAGGACTATAGTCTTTGCATCATTGAGTATTAATGTTACAAAATGTTGAGAAAATTAAATACATGCACTGGCATAAACAAGGAACACCTTGATACATAGATATTAAGAATAAAAGTATAAGCAGCACAAAAATGCTTTGATTATAAAGTAACGTGATATATTCAATATACACTCTGCTCCATTATTTTCTTTACATAGGCAAGTAAACTGTCTTCCCTCCTGTCACCAAGACACTGAGACAGACTAACCAATGACATCATTTTTAAAGAATATACAACCTATATAACCTATCTACCTGCCAAATTTACAAAGATCTGTCTTTGGATATTTTATATATTTTATCTTGCTGGGATCTTTTTTGAGATGAACTGATTCTACATGAGCTCTTGGGATAGTTGAAGGACCCTGATGACCTCATTCTGTTAGTGTTTACTTGCTAAGGTATTTTCTCCTTTTCAGCTTCTTATCTCTTCTGTGACCCAGAAAAAATCTATTTCTGGAATTTTGAGTAGGATCAATGTTTATAGGCTATGATGGGGAAAATTTATTTTACCTGTATCCATTCAAGCTGATGGAGATGGAGGATGTGTATTTTAATCATCATTTTTTAAATCAGTTTATATTGCCCTCAAATACCAACTGCCCTGTTTACTGATTGCAGTTAATCTCAGCTGGATGTTTAAAAACTGAATTCTGGATATAGATAAAAATTTCTTAGTAAATACTAATAAATTATTAATAATGATTATTACTATTACTGTATATTGAGAGCTTAGTAAGTTCTGCCAATTGTTGAAATCAAGGACATACTGTAGGTAGCATGATCTTTCAGCAACTACTAAAAGACTTCAAGTGAAAGGAAACATTATTTGGTGTCCCATTCTGTTCCATCTTGGACTGATGATACTTTAAGATTCCGGAAGGATGAGTTAGAGTTAAAAGAAAGAAGGTATTATAATCAGAAGAGGCTGTACAAACATAAGAATGTGCTTGCATATTCAGTCAGCATTGTTACAGTCAGAATCAAACCACTGATGCAGTCAGAGTATACTGGAGAGTGAGAGGATGGCATGAGGAGACACTGAACATCTGGAAGATGCAGAGCTGAGGATCTGGGGCTTTACTCTGTGAGGAAAGGATTCATAGTGGAGTACAGTCAGATTTGAATATTACAAAAATCACTCTTAGAAACTATAGGTAGTGTATTGCTATAGAGAAGTGAATTACGTTAGTAAATATTATTGAATTATTGCATCAGTTCAGGCAACAATTAAACTCAAGTGGTAAAAGAATATAGAACAGGAAACAGATTTGAGAGCTATTTAAGGGACAGATTGACAAAGTTCCCATGTTTCTGGCTGGTAGGATCAGCAGTAATTGATGATATTTACTAAAAGTGCGAATGCAAGGAGAAGAGAAAGGCAGACATAGGGGAATGAGGGAGAAAAAGTGTTGAGTTCAAAGCCATGTTGAGTTTGGTACAAGAGGAGAACTCAGATGCAGGTGTTCAGGTAACAAGTTATTGAGGAAATCCTAAAGGGAAGTCTAGGCTAGAAATATCGGGAAACAATGTAAATGAGAAACGAGTAGAGTATGAACAAAGTCAGTAGCAGGGGGAATAGTGAAAACAGGTTGGGCTTAAGAGACATATTGAAGTTAGATTCAGCAAGACTAGTGCCACATTGATTTAACATTAGAGAAATTTATTGTTCTTATTAAGCACCAGAGCCAGTGCTATCAAAGGTATGTAAATCCACAGGTACAACTTCTAACCTGTAAAAAAACTGTAATTAAAATTTAGTCTTATAGAAATATACTATTTTTTCTATATTAGACTATCACATGTAAACTGTAAGGTCAAGGTTCATGTTATCTATTTTAGTATCCAAAGTACCTAGTACTATGTATATGACAACACATGTTTGTTGAACCAAATTGACATATCTCTGCTGCAATTATCATGGTATCAACCATTTTTTCAGCATACACTTACTGAATGTATATAGGCATCAAGCCCTGTGTGTATTGCTAAAGCTACAAATTTAAAATACATTCTTATATCCAAAAAGCTCAGTCTAAGATAAAGACAAACATATATAAGATGGTAATTGCTATGATAGCAGCAAGCACAGGACAAGATGGAAGTACAGAGCAGAGATATATCACCTAGCTAGGAGTTACAGCTTCCTGTAGGTGATGACTTCTGAGTCAAACTTGAGTTTGAGTAGTAGTTCCCCAGCTTCATTGGGGTGGGGCTAATAAATAGTGGAAGGTATTGTAGGCATCAGGATCATCTTGTATGAGTAGGGCACAGGGGTCTCGGAGATCTTAGAACTCTGTAAATAATACTAAAAAATTAGTGAGATGATGAAAGTGGAGTGGGTGGTGGGGAGACAATAATGAGCCATGAAAATTCTAGTAAGGATAATATGTCTTCTATGCCATTCTTAGAAATCTGAATAGGAGAAAAAATAGGAAGGGAAGCTAGTTTCAAAAAATAGCTCAGCATCAGACATAGTGAATTGGAGCTTTGTATTAGGGTAGGCTAACTATTGTAATAAATAACCACTTTAGTGGCTTAACACAATAAAATTTTCTATTTCATTAATATCCCAATCTAATGATGAGTATGTATGGGGGGGTCTATGTTCAATTCAGTCAGTCAAACACCAAGGCTCTTTCCAGCCTGTGTCTCTGACCCTCCTCTGTATCCTTAGAATATTTTCCACGTAGCTGGTGGATGAAGAAAGAGAGTGTAGGTGGAGATAATGTTAAGATATTTAAAGAGTCCAAGATTATATAGGTAAGAAGTTTTTATGGATCAAACCTGAATGAGGCACATATGACATCAAAACATATTCCACTGGTCAGAAATCAGGTATTCATACCTGACTTTGAGGAGACTGGGAAATTTTGTCTAGCTAGATGCCCAGTAGGAAAGAAAAAAGAATTTGGTGAGCAAATTTCCGTCTGTGATCTAGGCAAGTTGAAATAAAATGTAGATAGCTAGGTTTGAAATACATTAATAATTTATGAGTTGTAAATATACATAGTGGTTGTTTAAATCATGGAAATGAAGGAAATATCCAAGCATGATCAAGTATATTGAAAAAACTCAAGAATTTCAGCATTTTATGAATACATAAAAGAGAAGCATGAAAAATAGACTGAACATACTTGGCAGAGAAGCAGAAAGAAGACGACGAGAGAGAATGTCAAAAATACAAAGGGAGAAAGACATGTCAAGAGGCAGGCAGAGGCCAAAAGCATTATAAGCTCCAAGGTAGTTAAGATAGGAACCATTGGCCACATTCTAAAATTTTAACTACTTCAGTTTCATATAAATTCATTATGCCATTTTGATGGTTGAATGACCTACAGAAAGGGGTCCATGATTGTATCTAGAGTAATAAATTGCCTTCATTTATGTCTCAACTTGTTTTAAAATGTAATATGGTAAAGTTTTCTGCATAACTTAATTACTGAGATTTCAAATTAGCTTTAACAAAACCTTTAAATCTACAACTAGAGTTACTTTTCTCACGTAAGTTTTGCGTGTGATGACTGTCTCAAAAAGATTAAAAATATCAATAAAATACACTTTTCATTCAACTTTCATGTTTATAATCTCTCTAACCCATTTTTAGTTAGCAGCTCCCTTGTGTATTCACTATGTATGTAAAATCTGTTTGCTCATATGCTTCATATGTGTGTGTGTGTATATATATATATACATCTATGTACTTCCTCATGGAAAAATATAATTAAATTTAAATTATTGACTAATAAAACAATTTAAAAAATGCATTGCTAAACATCTCAAAATTGTGTTTTCAATTATGAAAAACATTAATGAAACTATTTGGAAATTGCGTAGCTCTAAGGAACAATGCAGGTGGAAGGTGAAATACATTGTTTGTGTTTTAATACCAATGTTTTAAATGTTTAAATGTTAATAAACATTTTAAATGTATAGGTATATATTGCTTGGCATTGAAAATAGTGTGAAGAAATGCTTTTCGAATATTCTTGTAGCTATTGGTCTTTCTTCAAAAGAGTTTTCCTCAAATTTTCAATGCATATAATAGATGCAAGAGGAGCTCTTATAATTGATGGTTTCTCCTAATGGTAACCTCCCGGGCAACTCTTAGAATTCCTAAATCAAAAGGAGCAGAGTTTGAAAACAATCCTTGTGCTCTGTGGTGGTAGGCACTGCCACAGGAAGGCAAATGTTGATAATTTTTAAAAATGTGGTGCTGAGATGCTTGAGTGATCCAAGTTGGAAAGATTGAGAGCAAGAAGTTAAAAAGCTGAATAGTGGTAGGCCATCATAAATAAACAAGTAAATAAATAAATAATAAATAAAGAGCTGATACAGGCTAGTATGTTAGTGCTGAGATGGACCAGAGGGCCAGCCCAGCCCTGGCCATGGCCTCGGAGGAAACCTTTGCCACACGCTTAGACAACAAAACAAGGCAGAGCAAAAACAAAAACACAAAAACAACAACAAACCTCCAGAGATTTAAAGGACAGTCAAATGATATTTAGCAGCAATGATTAATACCAAGCCAAATGAATGCACTTCTGTCCCTTAACTATAATAGTGCATACCATGAAATGTTCTCACCTTAAATTCAAACTCCATTCACACGTATTCATTCAAAATGTATTAAGCACCTATGAGCCGGCTCTCTGCTAGTGGTGGCAATATAAAGAAGATATCATGCATAATCTCTTCCAGCAAAAATCTTTAATCCTCACAGAAGAGTAATGAGTACATAAAAATAATGGCTGAGGGGGAATATGTCATCCTAATGGAGCACAGAAATAGGGTTTCCAGATCTGACTGATGGGCCAGAGATCATCTTCTGGCAGGAGGGATACTTGAACGAGGTTAGTGACATGCCAGGGGTGGGTACTTAGGCAGATTAGAGTTCAGCAACTGTAACACCAACAAGGACAGAAAATTAACAAAATAAAGAAAAACAAAACCACATGCATTGGTCTCTCACTATATGCCAGACACTGTACTATGGACGTCATTTGGATTCTTACTGAAGGTATACAATTAGCCTACGGATGATGACCCTATGACCTGGATACCCTTAACCATATTTTATATCTAGGAAGAAGATTAAATGTGTTAAGAATCTTGTTCAACATGATACAACTCTGCTTCGGCAGCTAAGCAATATTATAGGCTCATGAAGTCTTACTCTAGAGCTTTATTTTTTAACCACATTAGACTGTGAAGAAGTATTTTTTGAAAAAAACAAGAAAGCTGGAGAGGCCCCTTAGGGTATTTGTGAAGAAGAAAAATCCTGTTTTTGTTCCCTTTTTTTTTTTGAGTGATGTCAGCTTACTAGAGGGACCTCAGAAAACCAGCTGACAAGGTTGAATATGCTGAGTTTATTATGCAAAGCAATATCTTTTTATAATTTACAATATTGAACAATATTAAAAAGAAAATCCCCCAAACATTTGAGTTGATGTGTTTTTTTTTCTCTTGTCATTTTAAGACAGGAATAAATAAAATAGAAAGAAAAGCCCACAGGAGGTTGTGTTTCTACTATCTTAAAGTGCAAATCATAAGGACCTTTGAAAATTATTGTCATGTTATTTCATAGCCTTCTTTTCAAAGCCAGAGAGTTTCAATTTCTATAAATATTTCACACAATAAAGGTATTGCAAAAATTCCTGTCTCTCACTAACCCACCTCCATCAGACCCTTGTATCTCTCTTTATTCAACTTAGATTTTATGTCCTTCATGATGACCTCTCCCTTGCTTAGTTCTCAACACTACTCACCTTCTTGTTTTATTGTGCTTGCTTTTTTGAACTACATTCTTAGTTAACCCAATTGTCCACCAACTCTGAACCTGCACCAACCACAGCTGAATGTGGCTGGAAAAACAAAAACAAAAACAAAAACAAAAACAAACAAACAAAAAACACTCTCATGCTAACTGGCCGCACTTTAAAGGATCACGTAAGTGGGTCTATAATGTTGCCTGTAGTAATGCTGTATTTCCCATCTATTCATTCTCTCACTTTCCTAGAAGACACTATCATATCTTGTTCTTGAGTTTTCATCACTTTTACTCTCATTCTCATTCACAGATGCTGGATTTTTTTACTGTCTTTCATTTAGAAAATTCAAGCACACAGAGGAGAACTTACATGTGCATTGTGTCCTCAAAATAATTATTTTGCTGTTCATGCTCCCAGGGAAGGCTGACTCTTCCTCTAGTTCCCTAGACCCCACATACTCTTGTCTACTTAAGGAAATCTCTCTAGTATTTTCCCTATCTCTGTTACATTATCAAATTTTTCTTCTCTTCTGAGTCTTCTCACTAGCATATAAACATTGTTATTGTTTTTCCACAGTTAAAATCTGTGTCTTAACAAAGTTGTCAAAATATTGAAGAAATGCGAAACTGGGTAATGGGTGCCCGTGGATACATTATACTACTCTCTCTCTGTTTATGTACATTAAAAATAAATCTGTAATGCAAAAGTCACAGCAGAAATGAAAAACAGACCCTTCTATTCCCTTTGAGATACTACACTAATTCTCACATGCCACAAATACCTCAGAAAGTATCAACACTGCGCTCTCATTAATGTTGTTACTTTTATTTTCTCTTGAATTTATTACATTCAGGTTTTTGCCCAGCACTCCATGGAAACTACTCTTGTCAAGGTCACTAATGATGTTTCCTTTGCTAAATCCAATAATCATTTTTAGTATACATGTTACTTGATTTATCATCAGTATTCAACCTGGTTGATCACTTTCTTCTTTTATATACCATCTTTCCTTGGCTACCATGTACTACAGTATCCTGGTTGTCTTCAACATCCCTGACTCCTCCTCTATTTTTTCCTTTGTTCATTCTCTAAGCATTGGAGCATTTGTGGACTCAGTCCTTGCAATCCTTGGACATCTGTTCTCTTCTTTCTCTACTCACTCTTTCAGTGACTTTTAGTGTTATCCTGTTGACTACTATGCTAATGCTAATGATTCCCTATTTTATATTGCCAATCATAATCTCTGCCCTGATTCCTATATCATACTGCCTCCCTTATATCTTCACTGAAATCTCTAATAAGGAATTCAAATCTAGCATGTGAAAACTGAGTTCCTCATCTCCTTCTCTCCATCTTCAATAGTCATTGCCATTTCAACAAAGACCAATTCTATTTTTGAGTGATTCAGGACAAAAAACACAGAGGTATTCTCAAACTCTCCCATTTCTTTCACTCCTCAAATTTGTTCTTTTAGCAAATTCTGTCATTTCTGGTTTCTAACTGACTCCATTATCCTAAGTCACCATCATCTCTCATCTAATTTTTTTCAATAACATCTTAATCAATCTTAGTCTATCATTAAGAATGGACAGTATGATCTTTGAAATGCATAGTCAGATCATCTCTAGCCTCTGCTTCAAAGTATCTAATAGCTTTCCATTCAACAACAAAGTCCTTTCTATGCTTTACAATCTTACTATTCAAAGTATGGTCCATCACCTGTTAGCTTGTAAAATTCAGAACCTCAGGCTCCAACCAAGACCTACCGAACCAGAATATACATTTTAATAAGGTGCCCAGGATTCACCTGCACATTAAAGAGCATTGTTTGGCAAGGTCCTACAAAAGTTGCAACTCTCACATTATCACTCTGATTTCATTTCTTAGTATTCTACCCCTCATTTACTCTCTTCCAGACAGTATAACCTCTTTGCTATTCCTCAAGTATATCAGCCATTCTCCTACCTCAGGACTTTTGCTTTGCCCTTTTGCTGCTTTCTGAGGTATCCTCATGGCTGTGCCTTCACTTGGAAGTTACCATCTCAGTCATTCTCTGGCCACCCTCTGTAAAATTTACTGCCTCTCTTCCTTTATCACTTTTCCACTCCTTCCTTCTCTCTCATCCTGCCCCCATAGCATTAATCATCACCTAACACATATTTTATTCAGTTACCTTGGTTGTTGCTTTTTTTTTTTTTTTAGCTAGACCATAAGCTCTGTAAACACAAGGGGTTTTCTTTTCCTTTTTTCTGCAGTGTGGTTTCTCCAGATGTAAAAGATAATTTGGCACATGATTGATGCTAATAACTATTTGTTGAATGGATGAGTGCTTCTTCTATTTTATTTTCTCAAGGATCCCTCATGGAAAGTTTTTCAAGACTTTCATCCCATGGATTCCAACCTTTTTCTCTGTGTATCAGTGCTGTAATGGCCACACTTCCATGTCTTTCCCTGCCTTGGAATTCTCTGGCAAACCTGAAGCCTTTGATGGACCCTGCCACTGCCCCCACCAAGCAAGGCTAAACAAAAGCAGAGAGCTGTTTCCATTGTGCAAAGCGGAATCACCAACCTCAAATACTTACTCAACACCGTCTGACAATTCTTCCACTTTCTGTTGGTAAGACTACTCCATCATCTTCCAACTCCCAAGTAGCTGTTCTTTCCATATGCAGAATAGTTTCACTGATATTTTTCTCAACCTAGACTAAGAGGCTCCACTCAGAGGAGCTCATCTGCTCACCAAAAATATCACCAAATTACATTCTTCTATTTTCAATTTTCTCCCAAAAGGAATTGCGTGCTGTCTTGAAAGTAACCACTTTTCTCTCATTATACCTGGAAGAAAAACAGACATTGCAATTTAGGGTTTCATAATTTTCTTAATAATGTAAAAAATATATTTTCTCAGCTTGTACACAGTCTCAAAATGAGAATTTTGAGAATACTCAATGTGATAAAATGTATCTGTAAGATCAATATTCCTTTGACAAAAGATATGTTTAAAAAGAACACGAAACTTAGATGTTCAGGCCCTATAGACCTCATTACTTCATAATCACATTAAGAAAATTAATACTTAATTATATGTAAATATATAATTTATGTTAAAAATTATGTCACTCCTATGCTTAGCTTAAAAACCAATTTTTAGATTTAAATATTATATTTTCTCCTCTTTTCCATCAAAGTTGTTTGAGGATTTTTGTTTAAACATCTCTTTTTTCCTAATTCCCCATACTCTATTAAGCCATTAATTACTATTATTACCAATATAAATAATGTAAATGACATTTTAAAAGATAATGACATTTAATCTTCTAAAATAGATTTATCATCTCTTACAGATACTATACCAAATTAATGATAAAATAGACTTATTTTATTGATACAATTAATTTATTAGTGACAATGTAACTGACCAACTTTACAAACTAAAAATCAATGAACCATTATACGATCAAGATTACTTTTGCTGCCAGTTACATACATGTACGTTGAACTACATCTAGCAAATAAGGGTAATTTATTGGCTAACATAACCAAGGAAAGGACAGAGTTGTAACAAGGGCTCAGGGATAAGTATCCCCCTCTTTACTCTGCTTCTGTCTTTCTACTGACTTCTCCCATAACAGCTGCACACAAAGTTACTGGCAGCTTTCACACTTAAATTTCCTAATTATCTGAAAACCAAAGAGGAAGTAAAAGTTATTCCATATTTTCTCAGGTTCACAAATCCCAGAGAAAGTTTCTTATTGGTTCTGTCTGAGTCAATGCTGACTCTACTGGTAATAATCACCATGAAGAGGGTTTCTGAATCTCGAAGAAGATGGCAGCTTTCTTTGGAACCATCTAGTTAATATTGGGACAAGGAAATTGCTGGAACAAATTGGTGAAAATGTGGTGTGCATTTGGTGAATTGTTGCACTGGACAGACAAAACCACAGATGTTTTCTAACAACCCTTTGCTTTATATCTTCCTGTTTCCTAATTAGAGACCATTGTCCTAGAAGCTTAATTGTATTTATCTTTTTATTTATTTATTTTTGCAGCACAACAAAAGGGAATCCACAATTTGAGGGTGGCAAATAGAATAGCTTATTGCCAAAGTTATACAGGGAAGAAAACTCAGGTTTGTTCTGAAGAAAAATGATTCACTTGAAGCAACTTAAGGGGGTTATAAACCTTCCCAAAGACAAATAACTTTGTGATGATAAATACTTAAACTGGTATCATAGAAATTAACACAAAATTTTGACTGTCAGGAGTTTTTCATGTGCTCAAAAAACTGGAAAAAAATATAGTAGCCTAAAGCAAAACTGTCTTACAAAATAATATAAATAAGTATATCGGCTAGGCTCAAAAAATTCTTTCAATTCTTTTGAATAAACAGCATGCTTTTCTTTTCTACTTTAAATATGTCATAACTGTTTTTGACAATTAATATTTTTCTTCTGTGCCTGAATTATGTAAACTGGATGTGTAAGGTCCTCAAGGTCCAGGTAGGCATTTAGGAAGCTACAAAAATAATGAAATAAATCAACAAAGAAACCTTAAGTTTCTTTAATCTTCTTGGTTTATTTTGAAAATTACAAAAAATAAATTATTTTAGCATCAATTTTGCTATTATGTTATTCATATTTTATTTTGCTCAAAACAAGTATAAAGTTGCATGATTTGCAAATGATACATGTTTAGAAAGTATACAGTGGTGACACATTACTCTATAAGCTTTATGATGGAAGGGGTTTGGATCTGTCCTGTTTATTTCTTTATCTCTTATGCCCAGGGAAGTACCTGGCTCATATTATTTGTGCAGTGATTACTTTTAAATAAATTAGCTAATCATCATCATATTGTAAGTATAGAATATTTTCTTTTGATATATCTTAAAATCCTGCCATTAAGATTGTGGAATTCAGGTCGGGGTCAAGTTAAAAATTTAAATACTAAAGAAAAAGGAGGTGAAGGAATCAATATATCCTTTAATTATACTTTCATAACAATTTCAGAAAATCATGGGGCAAAAAAGCCAAGGTTACGTTTAATTAAATGGAAGGAGTGTACCTTTCTGTCATGAAAACACAGCTGATTATATGAATCAATTCTATGAGAAAAATTCTTAATTTTTAAGATTGCATATTTAAGAGAACTTAGAGAAATCATATATTAGAACATGACATTGATTTCATTCCAAAACAAGCAAGCCGCCTTATTGGAGAAACTTTTTTGGAGCCACTTAAGCTGTTTTGTGCCTTTGAGTTAACAAAGAAAATTGCCTTTGTTAACAAATGTCATCCATTCTAGAAGTCCTGATATGTTTTTCACTATTTTAAAGCAAGTCTTGAAAGAATTGGCAGCTGTGTCATTTGCATTCTGAATGCAAATGGACAAAAATATAGATGTCCCTTAGTGAAGCCAAATCCTGGTTTGCACATATCGTGTGCACACTGTTGCCATCTAAGAAGAATTTGTGATTTGGGAGCTAATTTTGGAAACAGGAAAAGATGTCAGTGTCTTTGAAATGGCAAAAAGTTTCTTTGCCAGGGAAAGTGTCCACTGGAAGACAAATCTTGGTGTTCTATGAACAGGTGGAGCACCTGTGATGCTTGGCAACACATCTGGTTTGGCTGCTTTCTTGAAGAAAGGCACTCCACATGTCATAATGACTCACTGCCTTTTACACCGGCATGCAATTTCATAGGAAATGGTGCCAGCAATTCTGAACGAAGCTTCGTCCATCACCATGGAAAAGCAACTTTATCAAAACCAAGGATTTAAATCACTCTTTTCAGTATGTTTTGTCAAGAGATGGAAGCAGAATATGAACTTCTTGACTACACGCTCCAAAAACAAGACTTCAAGTGCTTGATTATATTTTAAAAAACAGTTTTATCTTTTTTCCCCCTTCTTTCTTGCTCTTTCTTTTTATCTTTTGGAGGGAGATAAGTGGAAGATGAAGTGATATAGAGGAAAATTCAATTCACTCAAAACTACCTGACAAGGATGAGTTCATTTGTACTTTGGCTAAGGGAAGGATATTTTTGACAATATAAATGAGGTAATTAATTTAAAACAAAGCCTTGAATTACAAATGCTGTGAAAAACAAAACAAATATACCACCCCTACCTCAAACCGCTACCACAATAAACCGTGAACTATTGCATCCAAATTATGGGTTTTGAAACAAAGACTAAAATTAGGCAACTATTGCAAATTTATAAATGCAAAAAAAAAAAAAAAAAAAAAACAAAAAACATGTTCTTTGTGTTGAGAATGATAGAGCTTTGCCAAATTATCTGTGGGAAAAAATCTACAGACCCCAGGATAAAATAGAGTCTTTCCCAGCATTACTTCTGCTCAAACAATTTAAATATTGAAATCTGGAGTTGTGATTATTTTCTGGGATCCTCTTGTTGCTGATGAAGAGAACAACACTGTGGTAGACTTTGACCTCAATGACTTCAGAACAAAGGACTTGCCATGTCAGGATTTCAAGTCAAGGAGTTCCAGATAATTCAATTGTTACTTGACAAGGTATATGACAATGTACATGGTGTGATTGCTACTTTTAGGTGTTAAGGTGACTGTTTAAGGGATACTTAGATAGCTGTCAAATCATTATATCTGGGTGTGTCTGTGAGGGTGTCTCTATGGGATAATGGCATTGAGTCTGTAGACTGAGTTGGGGAAGATCTGCCCTCAGTGTGGGTGGGCACCATCCAATCAGCCCAAATACAACAAAAAGGCAGAGAAAAGGAGAATTCCCTTTCTCTCTCTCCCTCTGTCCTGAAAGTGGGAAACCCTTCTTCTTCTGCCCTTAGATATCAGAATGCCAAGCTCCTTTGGATGATGGAACTTGTACCAACAGCCCCCAGGTTCTCAGGCTTTCAGCCTGGGACTGAGAATTACACCATCTGTTTCCCTGGTTCTGAGGCTCTGGGACTTGGACTGAGCCATACTACCAATATCCCAGGGTTTCCAGATCTCAGATGGCCTGTCATGGGGCTTCTCAGCCTCCATGAGGGCTAATTCCCCTAATTAATTCCCTATCATATATCTTTATCTACATATATACTATCAGTTCTTTCTCTATAGAAAACCCTGAATAACACACCTGGCAAAACCATTTGTGAAAATATTGATTCCACTTACATTTCTTTGTAAGTGAGATTATTAGTACATGAAGCCACATAAACCACACAAAATCGAAATGAGATGTTAAGGATAACATGCATATGGTTTTTAAAAGCTGAATATAGCTTTTTGCTGACATTTTCTTTGGGGCAGAATTTACTTTGTCATATCTACAGAATTTTGATCTATTTTAATTTTTTTAGTAATGGGCTTTTAACTATATGTATAAATAGATTAGAGCAAGAAAGACATAAATCTTTGTAAAGATTTTTTTTCCATGTTATATCTTTACCACTTTTCAATTGAATAGTTTGGTACAACAGGTATAAAGATATGATTTATAAACTTAGCTAGGCACTCCAGAATGAACAGCAGTCTGGACCATTCACTTTTTCCAGAAAGCTTTATTTCTCATTATCCATGGAAGCTTGGAGACAATCCAAACTTCTTTGCACATTTGTATAACCCTGCCATGCCCCTCTTGATCGCAAACAGATGACTTTGATTTTGTTCCTTCACAGAGGGAAGTTTCCTTAACTTCTACCACCAAACCTGTGAACTAATATGCACCTGTAGATACACTCTTTTTTATTCTCTCTCTCCAGTTACAATTGATTGGCACAAATGACAAGAATACAAAGAAGGCAGTACTCTAGTTTTAACCAGGCTAGCGATGACACCTATGGGATTGCAGATCACCCAAACATAACTGTCCCTAAAAGCCTAAGTAGAGTTGAGCTATCCTACCAGCTGAGTCTCTTCACATTGGGACTGTTAAGGAAGAAAAAATGAAACTTCTTTGTCCTCTGAGTCAAGGTATTACAGGGTCTTTAAGTTACGGCAATTTAGCATTTATTCTCATGAATTCATGAAGGTTCTGTCACTCTTTCTGTATTGTCTTATTTACTGGTGAGGCTTCAATTATTTTCAATTGCTACTAATTTTTGTATCTCTCTCCAAGGCCCAGAGCTGCTTATCTTTTTCCCCCATTTCTTAAATACACCTTTTATTCTGGAATCATTTTAGATTTACAAAAACATTACAAAGAGTGCAGAAAGTCACCATCTGGCCTTGACCAGCATCCCATAATGCTAATATCTTACATAACCATAGTGCATTAGTCAAAACTAAGAAATTCACATTGATACAGTACCATTATCTATATATAAAGACCCTAGATTGCACCCCTTTTTTTCCCACAAATGTCCTTTCTCTGTTCCAGAATTGAATCCAGAGTCCTGCACTGCATTTGGGGTACTATTTATTTTATTTTATTTTATTTTACATTCCGGGATACATGTGCAACAGGCTTGTTACATAGGTAAATGTGTGCCATGGTGGTTTGCTGCACCTATCAACCAATCACCTAGGTATTAAGCCCAGTATACATTAGTTATTTTTTTCTGATGCTCTTCCTTCCCTCATACCCCCACTACCGCCAACAGGCTCCAGTGTGTGTTGTTCCCCTCCCTGGGTCCATGTGTTCTCATTGTTCAGCTCCCACAAACATGCAGTGTTTGGTTTTCTGTTCCTGTGTTAATTTTCCGAGGATAATGGCTTCCAGCTCCATCCATGTCCCTGCAAAGGACATGGTCTCATTACTTTTTATGGCTACATAGTATTCCATGTTGTATATGTACCACATTTTATTTATCCAATCTATTATTGATAGGCATTGGGTTGATTCCATGTCATTGCTATTGTAAATAGCAGAGCTGCATATCTTAATGTCCTACCGGATATTTGGATGGCCTATAGAAATTAACGTTCAACAAACCCAAGACTTTTAAATTTATTTCTTTTTAAACTTTTCTTTCTTCTCTGGTACGTATCTGAATGAGTGGCACCATTAGCTATCCAGTGGCGTAGCATAGGCATCTTAGAGTAACTTCCAATTTTCCTCTCTCATCCTTCTTACATTCAAATAAAAATCATATCTATTCTACCTCTTACAAAAGTCTTACAAATTCAATCACTTCTCTTTATGTTCCTTGCCAAGAATACAAGACACAGTCATCTTTTTCCGTGTTGCCACAATTGGCATATTGCTGCTTTCTCTCATTCAGTTTTGCTTCTCTAGTCCATATTCCACAGCACTCAAAGTGAGCTTTCTAGAATGCAAATCTAACTCTACTTAAAATCCTGCAAAGACTCTCCAGTGCTCTTCAATAGATTATATTTTAATGTGGCTTACAAGGTCCTGAATGAGGCCCTTGTTCTCCTTTCCAATTTCATCTATTATTCCTGTCTTCATCATATGCCATATTCTAGCTTTTCTGAGCTTTCTCCTGCAACCACATCTTCAAATGATCTATTACTTATTTTCAAATTAAACTCCTCCTTCATCAACTGGTCAATGCCTATACTTTTGCTTCAAGCCTTAACTTAGAGCCATTTTCTCTAGAAAGCCTTTCTTGATTCTTTCAAGCATGTGTTAGATGCTCCTCTTATGTGAGAGCACACTGTCCTCCCAGGAAATAGCACCAGTCATGTTGGATTATAATATCTCTTTACTGTACCATCTCTCACTTGGAGGGGACAAGATTTACCTTATTTATTATCATATGTCTCATATTGTGTCATTCCCATGTCTATTACAGTTACTAGCAAATAAAAATGAATTGTGCTTATTATTTGCTTGAATTTGTTTTAACACACTTCCTTGGGAAGAGTCTGTAGCTTTCTTTAAAGTCTCAGAAAGGTCCATGATCTCAAAATATCCAAGCACACTTTCACGCTTGCATTATGCTAACTGTCAAAACATCGTAAGTTACAGTCATTCAGATTCTGAGAGCATACCATGATAACCTCCCTTTTCCCAAGTACCTCTAGAAATGACACATTAAAATAAAAACAGATGGTTATCCCTTTCACATCAATACAATCAAATATGCAATATGACTTTTTCTTCAGCATGCACATGCATGCATGTGTACATGCCCACACACACACACACACACACACATGCACGCACACACACATACACACACCTTCTTTGGAACCACTCTTTGTATTATAGCTATGGACATGGAAATTGCCACAAAAAATCTGAGGGCTTTCAAAAATTCATGGTTCAAGAGCAAAAGAGAAAAATAACTATCAATATCAAAAATAACTTGATGAATTTGGCTTTGAGACAAAAGAGGACTGTGTTGATTTATTATTTTGTAGTTTTTATTTTCCCATAGACATGCAAGAAGTTGCAAAAATAATACAGAAATGTTTCATTTACCCGTAACCCAGCTTCCACAATGGTAACTTTTTGCATAACTGAATTATCAAAACCAGGAAATGAGTTACTTTTTATTAGTTTTCCTGATGGAAAATATTCTTTTTCATGACTGAGACTCTTACTTTCACTGCGTAAAGCTATCTAAAATTGGCCAATTCAAAAATCATTTGGATTGCATTTATTAAGCTCTTAATGTCCGTCAGAGAGTATATTTAGTATTTCATACTCTTCAAATTAATCCTGTGGGAAGATACTAATATTACCTCAATTTATAGACGATGAAGCTGAGGCATGAAGATAAGTTGAGTAACGTGCTTAGGATCACATGTGTAGGAAGTGTCAGGGCCAGGTTTATGAACGCAATTCTCTGCAGGCTACACCACCACACCTGCATAATAACTCACTTCAAAAAATACTTTCCATGTCTGGAAGAGTTAAGAATTGACTGACCAGCTCTCATTATGAATTAGATTAAATTGCTTACACGCTTGCTTGCATTCTTCTAAAACCTATCTGAAGATCATCTCCCCTGAGAAAAGAAAGGAAGTTGGGAAGGAAAAAAGAAAGAGATGATCACGTTGAGCAAGACTGGATGGAAGGTCAGAGGCACTGGCAGACAAGGCATTGGGAATAAATTGTTTCCATGGTCCCTGTGAATGACGTTCATGAAGAAAGACAGGAAAGTGGTAGAATACTAAAGACCAATATCAAGTAACTCAAAATATTGCACAAACAGGTTCTGGGCCCAGAGAGAAGAATTCAAGTCTCTTTATCATGCTTTTTCTTGCATTGCAGTTCCTCCTAAGCCTAGGATCCAGACTCAAGACATTCTATTAGCACTTTAATAATTCATTCCTGATTTTATGGGTCAATTTTAACACTGATTATTCTGGTCTTATAGGTTTTTAGACATAAAACATAAATATCCTGGAAAATCAAGCATTATGCATTATCTTGACAAAATTCTCAAATTATGTTTCAATTTTTTATATCTGATTATTTCACAGTGAGTCTGACCCATATCCCAGCCCACAACCTATATCTCTACACTTTGTCCTTTCTGCTACCATAAAGTGAGATTACTTAGATTTATTTGATATTTTCTCTAAATGTAGAAACAGATATCATATTTTTTTCTATGAAGATACATTTTGAAATACTAACAAATGCTTTCTGCATCACTTTGGGATTCAAACTGTTCAGAAGGTGGGTATTCCCTGTACTCTCTGGTTTGATTGTAAACACTTTATCCTTTAAACATCTTCTCTACAGAGTGGCTCCTGGCAAGGAAAACTCCATTGTTTCATGTTTAGGACAGGTTGTAGTGTACATCACGAGAGAAACTCCTCTTTCTTCCTGTTCTTGGCAGATGTCTTAATTAATCTTTCGTTTATATTAATGAAAGGTTAGGCTGCACCCAACTCTTTAAAAAAATCTTCACTAAAGTTAATAACCTTAGAGAGTTTGCAAAGCTGGTATGGAATTTACAGAACAAAGCTGTGAAGAGCCACAGGCCTTCTCTAATAAAGACATCTCTTGCTTCTACTGCATAGTTTTGCTTACACAGCTTTATAGACGTTCTCTGTCTTGAGGCTACTAAGCCCATTCAAATGCCCTATTTTTCTTCTAATTGCTTTTCTGCCACTGGCTTGTTATCACCATCTCTTTCTTTTCCCTTTCTCTCTCTCTCTCTCTCACTCTTTCTCTCACACACACACACACATATACGCATGCATGCACGCACACACGCACGCACACACACGCACACACACATACCTCTCCACTTTCAGTATTTACCTCCATCCCAACATGTCCATCTGCCTTAGGATATAGGAAACACTGCTCCTTAAAAAGCCAGCAGAACTGTATGTATCTGAACCTTCGTGCAACATTTATAGGCTCTGTCAGTTTCTCTTTCTCTTTTCTTTGTGTTCTGTGATATTCAGCACTTTCTGTAAAGAATGTAATGAAAAAAAAAAAGAAGATCAAAGGAGGTGCTTATCTCCACTGACATGTCCAAACAGGCACTCTGGCCCTCTCTAATATGCTCATCTAATTTGCTCCTGAGCCCAGGCCTGGAAGAAAAGCATCTTGAGAAAGTTTTCTTCCATGGGCTGAGCCATCTGCTAATGCGGGCCTGTGCCAGTAATTTACAAGTAATGGTTTACAGCTGTGAACCCTGGCTTCTGAGCTGTTTTGGTCATTTAGTAATTACAACAGTTTCATTAACATTTAAAGGGAATAGTCTGCTCAATATCAATTAGGGACTATCAGCAACTGTGTAGCTCCATTTTCATATTTGCATTTGACATTTAATATTCTGCACACATAAATTCTTGGTCTTGGAAATGCATTGCCACAGAAGGTCAAAATTAATCCAGAGCCCATTTCTACCTAGCTCTACTAAGCTTTAGGAAATATTTCTGCAGAGAGCAGGAACATAAAAGGTTATTTTGAGGCAGTTTTACACATCTGAACATTTAAGTACTTTTTCTTACCACTAAAGTTAAGGTTAAAGAGTTCTCCTCAATTCTTGTTATATCTCCTGTATTCTAGGGAAATTCCAAACTTATCTGATTCAGATTTGCATAGTATTAAGTAGAAAGATGACATCTATTACTGGCAAATCTTACATAACTGCAGTGATACTTAACTTTAATGTTTGAGGGTATGGGGGGGTGCTATGTATGGATTTCAACACTTAATAAATAGAACTAGACTATGACCAAAAAAAATTCTTCCTAAAATCATTTGCATCTGGATATAGGTCTTGATCTCTAATTAAATTGCTGAACAAAGTGGTAGTTATGCTAGGGCTTATCTCAGAAGAAACAAAAGCCCAATGATAATTTGAATTTCATGTGGCTGAGAATGGTCGTAGAATTTGATCCCTGCTGGTAAGTGATCTTGGTAAAAGACAGAGTGAGAAAGATGGAGCAAATTTTAAGTGAGTTAAAGGCCTTTTAGAGAGTTAAAAGTCAGAAGCTCCCATCAGGATGGAGAGGAGTGCTTTGAGATTATTTAGGTGCAGATTGTAGAGGATGTCAGTAAGAATGGTTTGAGTGGCAGAAGCTAAAAACAGTTTGAGCTAAAGTACTGGGGCTTCTTTTGACTCCTGGTTCGCAGGATCTGGCTGTGATAAGAGGTGAGTCACATAGCATGCACCATTCCTAAGAGTCAGAGGTAGGGAACAGGCCACTGAAAGAGGGAAGACTGAAAGAAGATTAATGAAGAGGATATTGAAAGAGACTCCCTTTCATCAGACTGGGACTTCTAATGTGTCAGAGTCTACACATTGCAATGCTTTAACAGGGTCTTATTTGCTTGAATTTTAAACCTATTCTCAATGTTGTGCTACTTAAGCAGATAGAGTGACCTTAGAAACACAGATAAAGTGAAAATCAGGGAAAAAAATCTATATGTTCTAGGGACTTGATGTTTGGAAAGAAGTCACACTCCCTGTCCTGCACACCCCCGCCCCCCGCCCCCCATCACCACTTCTACCACTACCAAGGCCTCAGCAAAGCATTTGTAAGGAGCTAGAAAGGAGTGGTGTCAGCCAGTTGAGAAATATCCTAGTCAGAACATTTAGATTATCTGGAATCATTATAATAAACAGTGCATGTAATCTACCAAAAAGGTATATTTTATAAACTACATTATTCATTGTCAGTTTTATTCAAGATATGCAAACGACATTGTTTCACATGGTCCTTGGCTTCTCCAGTACTTACTTACAATGGTGTCCCAGTGCTTATCAGACCAATCCAGAAGGCTTGTTCTATCATGTCAGACTCTCTGTGATTACCTTCATATCACTCTGCTTAGTGGGTTTATATGCATTTATAACTTTTCTTCCCAATTAGAGTATTAGCTTCCAGAAGGCAAGGTCAGAATCTTTACCTGGATATTCACCAGCTGGGACCTAGGAAATTATAACTAGATTTCAAAATGTGATCAGGTGGCAAAAGCGAGGAATTTTGATCAGGGAAACAAATAAAAATAAATAAATTGAGGCAATCTAGTGTCCAAGACTGGAGCTCAGGAGTATGCCTTTTGTTTCTAAAAAATCTAGAGTCCGGAATGCGGCAGAGTCCCAGACATAGGAGTTGGGGAACCAGGTTCCTAGGTAAACAGGAAGCTTGGGACCAGAAGGTGGGTGCCCCCATTTGCCAGTTTGTTAGACTAGCAACTTCCTCCATTGGCTCATGCTTATGGAAACGGGTACTTAGTGTCTCTGTTGGGACTACAGGCATTTGAATGTTCAGCAAGTGGCTGAAACCAGAGCCCACATGTGATACTGAGGAAAGAGATGTTTTCAAACTAGAAGAAATAAGAGGACTCAAGGACAGATGGGTAATAAATATCACAACAGAAGACTACATCTAGGTCCTTGGTAACCAGCAGGCTGGCCCCAATATCTTTAACAAAGCAAGAATAGGTAATAGATAGAAGTAGTGGGGGAGGTTATGATGAAAAGGCCCTACAGAAGCTAATAAAGATCCAATTCAGAAGTTTGAGTTGTGAAGAGTAGTTCCAAGATCCAGGAAGTGTAGTATTAAGTTATTGCAAGAGTAACAATGAGACTGTTTCTGAACCCATAGGAAGTGACCCATAAATTTTCTGTTTCTCATGCTAAGATGGGTCCACATCTTCAATAGAGCTGAATTTACAGGGTAGTGCCTTTGGCCATGGTAGCAGGAGACCCCAAATAATTTTAGTTATTGTATGTTTGATCAAATTGCAATCTTAAGCACAATTAACCAAACAAAATTTTAAAATTATGTAACATATACGAACTTGCATTTTCTCTCTGTATTAATCATGTTAACTGGGTAATATATAGGTATAAATATCTCAATAGTGTAACACAATAGCGACTGTCTTACTGATGTGTAGTCTAACCATTACTCAGTGTAGTCATATTCAGGGACCTGGCTCTTTCCAGCTTTGGCTCCACTCTTCTCTGCATTCAATGACTGGATATGAAGAGAAAAGAAAGAGTCAGTGAGTACTTAGGGTCAGGCCAGGAATCTGCCAGAACTCAGGAGCCTGGCCATAGCAAGTAGAGGCTGAGAAATGTAGTCTATCTGTGCACACAAGAGGGAGAAAGATGGGTTTAGTAAATGACTAACATACTCTTCCTTGAAATTACAGAATGTAAACTTGAGTAAAGAGTGGAAGAGAGATGGAAGAAACATGCACTGTATTTTAGAAATTTTATTTCAGGTAATACACCAGAGAATTACCTATTATAATGCTTTATTTCCAAATGGGGAGACTGAAGCTCTGAAAGTTAAATAGCTTTCTATTATACAGGTAGTAATTGTAGAGCTGAGGTTGAACCCGTGTCTTTCTGGTTTTTTTTTTTAAGAATTTATCAAAAGTCTTTGATTAGATTTATTATGACATAATAAGGAGAAAAATCAGATTCAGACAAACTTGACTCCATAGTGTGCATTTTCCACTCAGTTATTTGTGTTTCTGAATTAGTAATTTCACTGAAGCTGTGTCCTCAACTGTAAAATGCAAGTCATGATATTTGCAGATTTGTGTGATGTTTAAACAAATAATACACTGTTTCTAACATTTTCCTGAATATTTGAATTACCTGGAATGCTTAGAAGAAGTACAGATACCTCAACAGCTTCTTTCAAATTCTGATAGAATGGGTCTGGATTAAAGCCTGGGAAATTTTAATTTTAGCAAATGGGCTGAGATGGCTTTAGAAACAATGAGCTAATGTACACACAGTAGCACAGCCATTATCACCGAAGTTAGAGTTTAATGGCTGTTGTATTATTATTGAAGTTGCCAGCCTTGTTAATTATATTTCTAAATGGTATCTGCTCTGGAAGTCCCTATCTCTACTCACTCTCTATCAGTTAAGCTACACTTATTAGTTAATGTTGCCTCCTCTGGAGCAGCTTATTATCTACATTTCACTCAGACAATATTGAGTTGAGTTTTGAACTTCAGGTGAATTTTAGAACTGATTCTGAGCTCTTAGTTGCAAGCATCAGAAACCAGGTCTGGCTAAGTAAAAACTGTTTATTACTAGATAATGGGTAATTCAGAATCTCTTGGAGGGGACTAGAGAAGCAGGAATTTGTCTCATATTTCTCACCTCACAGTTCTGTGAAGGCTCTCATGTTTTTATGTTGCTGGGACCAAACACCACCCTTCACTGCTGATTCCCCCAAGACTGAATATCAGTTGCTGATGCCTTATGTTACCCATTCTTGCATCACTTGCATGTGTCTAAGCTGCAAGGAAAGCTGAAGAAATTACACTCCTGTTATCTCTACTCCTTTGCAACACATAAAGTGTGGAATTTCCCAAACAAGAAAAGGGATTCAAAAACCAGGTGATAAAAAGAGTGAGAATCATTGCCACACCACCCCCTCAGATGCCTACTGATCCTGGAGGCAGAATGAGGGGTACCCCAGAATTACAGACAGAGAAGCGCTGATGAAGATAAGCAGTAGGAAATGTGTGTTATAAATTTGAGAACTCAATGTGGGTGCCAATACCATAGATATTCAACATTTGTTTGCTGAAAAATTTGTATGAATGGATAGCTAAAGGAAGGAAGGAAGAAAAGAGGGGAAAGAGAAAAGGAAGGAAGAAAGATTTCTTCTCTAGTTCTCTTGTGACTTACATTCTACATTAAACATAATCTCAGAGGGACTGGATTCTTGCCTTACAACTAACTCTTCAGTAAATACCACTGGTTGGTATTTACTGATCCCTAATCTTCCTAGGGATCAACCAACACTAATTTCTCCCTGACAGGACTCCTGACAGTAATACTAGAGCTCCCTTATGCTGTCCCTGGCTAAAATAGGCTCTGATCCTATTTCCTCCTAACCCTAGGAACATGGCTTCTTCTTAAGCTTTTTACTCAGAAGACTGAGGCTGATCCATAGTTTCACTCATCCATACTTACCCTCTGTCCTAATGGGAGGTTTTAATCCTCCTATTGTTGCCTTAAGCTGAGGGTTCTAGAAACTATGTCATATTTTATTTAAATCTCTGGTGTCAATGTTTTGACAATAAAGTGAGACATTAAAACATATATCTTTCATCTGGGCGCGGTGGCTTATGCCTGTAATCCCAGCACTTTGGGAGGCCAAGGGGGGCAGATCACGAGGTCAGGAGGTCAAGAGCATCCTGGCTAACATGGCAAAACCCCATCTCTACTAAAAATACAAAAATTAGCTGGGTGTGTTGGTGCGTGCCTGTAATCCCAGCTACTCGGGAGGCTGAGACAGGAGAATTGCTTGAACCCAGGAGGCAGAGGTTTCTGTGAGCCGAGATTGTGCTACAGTACTCCAGCTTAGCGACAGAGTGAGAATCCGTCTCAAAACAACAACAACAAAAGCAACAAATAAAATATATGTCTTTTACCCCAAAAATGTTTTCTATATTTTGTATTTTCATGGTTTTAAGCCAAAATTTTTCTCTCCCAGATGGATTAAAAAAATATGCCTCAAGCTTACAGTGATGCCAGTGATATTGATATAGTTTAGATATGTGTCCCTGCCCAAATCTCATGTTGAAATGTAATCCCCATTGTTGAAGATGGGACCTGATGGGAGGTGTTTGGATCATGGGGACAGACCCTCATGAATGGTTTGGGCCATCCCCTTGGTGATAAGTGAGCTCTGTCTCTGAGTTCATACTAGATCTGGTCATTTAAAAGTGTATGACACTTTCCCCCACATTTTCTCTCTCTCTTGCTCCTGCTTTTGCCAAGTGACATGGCTGCACCCCCTTCACTTTCCACCATGATTTTAAGCTTTCTGGGGCCTCCCTAGAAGCTGAGCAGATGCCAGCATCATGCTTCCTGTATAGCCTGCAGAACCATGAGCTAATTAAACCTCTTTTCTTTAGAAATTACCCAGTCTCAGATATTTCTTTATAGCCATTCAAGAACAGCCTAATACAGGTATTAAACAACTATCAAAATTTTGAAATATGTTTGAAAATAAATTAAGAGTAAAATTAAAGGAAAGTGCACCTTTATTCAGATCTTCAAAAAGAACAGAGCCAGATTGCTACCCTGGAATAAAAATGATTCATTTAGGGAGTCAGGTGAGCAAATAATGATGAGAGGATTATTTGTCTAAGAACATTAGTCCACAAGAAAGACTGAGCATCCCATTATTCTTTCATTTCAATTTTTCCAACTTTTCTAATTTTACAAAGGGTGATGGCAGTTCAAAAATCCCAGACCCAAACCAATTACTTTGGGGGAAAAAATATTTAAAAATCAGATGGCATACAGTAAATCTTATAATCTAAGTTGAAAATACAGCCTAAGATGCTGGTAATTTTCATTTTCTAGTGATCCTTGCCACCATCAAATAAAACACATTCTTCAGTGTGGGTACGAATTATACAAATTATGTGAATTGGAAGGTTTATGTAGATATTGTTATTACCCGAAAGGTTGCACTTTAATTATCATTCACTTTGGAGTGAAGTTTTTTGAAAGGCCAATAAAAGGACTGTTTTACCCTTTATCACAATAGAAAGTATATTAACAGACCTAAAATATAGCCTAATTTTTCAAATATCTGGTGTGTTAACATGTCAACATTTAGTGGGAGTTTTATTTTGAGGTGGTCAACTATTAGACATTCCAGATTAATGTTTTTTTCTTTGTGTTATTTGACTTACCTTCATTCTCTCTATAGTCTTTTTATGTAATTAGTTGTACCTATTCATTTAAAAAGTAATATCAGGTTTCTGGGAAGATAGTGGAGTAGATAGTATTAGGAATCTGTCTGTACACCTAGACAAAAATTGAACTCAAAGAATCTGTCTGATGTAACTATTTTGGAACTCCAGAGTCTATTGAAGGCTTGCTACTTCAAGAGAAGTTTCAGGGGAGGACTTCAACAGTAAATAGTGGCTAATTTTGGACATTTTTAGGTATTAAAACAGTAGTACTTAACCATCTTCCACCCCTCAGACACTTGGCAAGTAGCTACTAATGTGTTCCTGAAGCAGCTTGCACACAGGTTATAGGAGCAAGGGGTGGGAAAAAGGGACACTGTCTTCATAATATCTGAAATCTGTGATCTGATCACTGACAGCTGCTTCTGATCACACAGAAGCAAATAGGTAACAGGCATCATTGTTGCACCTCCCCCTATTCTTGCCAGTCCCTCCCTGTCTGGTTGAACTGATTTCTAGGAGATTTAAAAGGCTAACATATTTTTTTTCTCCTTTATTTTTCTCTTTTTCCTTTTTCAACAGCTAGACACTGAATATTAGGAAAATCAAAGGTGACGGCATATACAGGGAGATTAGAAAACTACTGCACATGCCTGGGGAGGGGGCAGGCTCACAAAAGACTTGAGAAGACCTGTTTACATCTCGAGCTAGTGCTTGGCACAGAGAAAGCCTATGATAATCAAATAAACAGGAACAAAAAAACAAAACCAAAAACAAAAATCCAAGAAACAAAAAACAGCAAACCCTAGGAAGGGGGAAAATCTGATCTCCACAGTTAACAGATTATTGGATTCAAATGTTCAGTTTTCAATAAAAAAATTACAAAATAAAACAAGAAACAGCAAAGTATGAACCGTTTAAAGAGAAAAACAAATAATAATCCAACAGAAACTGACCCTGAAAAAACCTGATGACAGATCTACTAGACAAAGACTTTAAAACAATTGTCTTAAATATGCTAAAAGAACAAAAGAAATATGTGGAAAAAGTCAAGAATATATCAACAAAATAGCAATATCAATAAAGAAATAGAAAACCTAAAAATACTAAAGAGAAATTTTAGAACTGAAAACTTCAGATTTGAGCAGGGAGAAGAATTAGTGAACTTAAAAACAAGATAATGAAAATTATCGAGACTTAGCAAGAGAAAGAAAGGAAATTGCGGAAAACTAACCAGTCAGGGGGACTTGTAGAACACCATTAAGTGAGCCAATATATGCATACGGTACTCCCACAAGAAGAACAGAGAGGAAAAGATGAGAAGAAACTATTTTAAAAAATATTGCCCCCAAACTTCCCAAATTTTATAAAAGACATGAATAAAAACAGCCAACAAGCTTAACAAACAATAAGTAGGATAAGCTCAAAGAGTGCCACCAAGACACATTATCAACAATCTGTTGAAAGCCAAAGACAAAAAGAGCATTTTGAAAGCAGCAAGAAAGAAGTAATTTGTCACATTGCAAGAAATCCTCAATGTCATTCTCATCAGATTTCTCCTCTGAAACTTTGTAGTCCAAAAGGTAGTTGGCCAATATATTGTAAGTGCTAAAGAACAGTAAAACTGTTCTTTAAAAATGAGGGAGAATTGCAGGATAAACAAAAGCTTAAGGAGTTTGTTCCAATTACACTGCTCTACAAGAAATACTAAAGAAACTCCTACAGGTTGAAATGAAAGAACACTAGAAAGAACTTCAAGATGTATGAAGAAATAAAGATCTCTGTAAAGGTAAATAAGTGGACAATTATGAAGCTAGTAGTATTGTAACAATAGTGTATAACTCAACATTTTTTATCATGATTTAAGAAACTAATATAGTTTTTTAAAAAAACCTTTATCTGCCTAAAAGCTAGTATTGTCGCAACTTCGTTTTATAACTCCACAATTTGCTTTATACATAAATTAATAAATTAATGCATTAAAAATTTTTAATTCATGTTTTGGGGCACATAAGCTATAAAGATATAATTTTGTGATACCAACAACTAAAGGAAATGGAGATGGAGTTCTTGGAGGAGCAGAGTTTTGTATATTATTGTGGTTAAACTGGTAAAAATTCAAATTAGAGTGTAATAACTTTAGCATGTTAAGTGTAATGCCCATGGTTACTACGAGGAAAATAGGTAAAAAGTATACACAGCAAAATAAATGAGAAAAAAATTTAAATTAAATGTTTCACTGCCAAAAAATTTAACCAAACACAGAAAAAGATAGTTATGCAGGAAATGAGGAACAAAATCTAGAAGGCATATAGAAAATAAGTAGTAAATGAGAGAAACAAGTTCTTTTGTATTAGTAATCCCTTTAATAGTTAATGGATTAAATTCCCCACTCAAATGACAGAGACTGGCAAAATGGAAAAAAGTACATGATGCAACTATGTGTATCTATGAGAGATACACTTTTTGAGTCAAAATACAAATAGATGTAAAGCAAAAAGGTATAAAATGATATTGCATACAGATTGTCTCCAAAAGAGAGTGAGACAGCTCTACTAATATCAAAGTAGAGTTTAAGTAAAAAAAATTACAAAAGACAAAAAGAACATTATGTATTCACAAAAGGCTGAGTACAGCAAGAATATATAATAATTATAAAAATTTATGCAGCTAATATCAGATCTTTAGGATATATGAAGCAAAAGTAGACAAAATTTAAGGGAGAAATAGACAGCTATTTAAAAGTTGGAGATAAATTATAAGTCAGTAAATTGGCTACCCTAGAGAAAATGTACAAATTCCTAAAAGCACAAACCTTAGGAAGACTAAATTATGAAGAAATGATAAATTTGAGTAGACCTATAGCATGTAAGGAGACTGAATCACTAATAAAAAATCTCCAAACAAAGAAAAGCCCTGGACCTGATCACTTCTGGTGAATCCTATCAAGCCTTTAAAGAATTAACATCAATCCTTCTTAAACTTTTCCCAAAAAATTGTAGAGGAGGGAACACCTTCAAACTCATTTTATGATGCCAGCATTAACCTCATATCAATGTCAGATAAAAACATTACAAGAAAAGAAAATTACAGGCCAATGTCCCTCACAAACATGATGAAAAATCCTCAACAAAATAATAGCAAACCAAATTCATCAGTATATTAAGAAAATTATACACCATAGCTAGGTGAGATATATTCCTGGAATGCAAGGATATTCTCACGTACAAAAATCAATTGATGTAATACACTATATTAACAGAATGAAGAGAGGAAAAAACATATTATTTCAAATAATGCAGGAAAAAAGCATTTGATCTAACCCCATTTCGTGATTAAAAAAAAATCAACTAGAAATATAAGAAAACTATCTCAACATAATAAAAGTAATATATGAAAAACCCACAGCAAACATCATATTCAATGCTTAAAGATGAAATGGATTTTTTCTAAGATCAGGAGCAAGGCAAGGTTACCCACTTTTACCACTTCTATTCAACATAGTATATTGGAAGTTCTAGTCAGAGCAATTAGGCAATAAAAAGAAATAAAGGCATTCAAATTGGGAAGGAAAAAGTAAAATTATTTCTTTTCATAGGTGACATGATTTATAAGTAGAAAATCTTGAAAAATTCTACAAAAAATGTTTGAAATAAAAAACTTGCAAAGTAGCAAGACATAAAGTCAACATGCACAAAATCAGTTGTATTCTTCCCAATGATCAATCCAAAAAGGAAATTAAGAAAAGAACTCCATTTACAAGAGCATCAAAAAGATAGTTAGGAATTAATAGTTAGGAATTAATGTAACCAAGGGGGTAAAAGCCTTGTCTGATTAAAACTACAAAGTATTGTTAAAAGATACTAAAGAAGACATCAATAAATGAAAAGATATTCCAAGTTTATGACTTGGAGGACTTAATATCGTTAAGATGTCAATACTATCCAAAGTGATTTACAGATCTAATGCAATACCTATCAAAATCCCAACATTGTTTTTTTGCAGAAATCGAAAAACTTATTGTAAAACTCATATGGCATCTTAAGGGACCCTGAATACTCAAAACAATGCTGAGAAAGAACAGAGATGTAGGACTTATCTTTCCTGATTTCAAAACTTACAAAGCTACATTAGTCAAGAGTGTGGCACTAGCATAAAGAACAATACATGGACTAATGGAATAGAATAAATAGCCCAGAAACAAATCCTCAAATATATGGTTAAATACTTTTTGACAAGGGTGCCAAGAACATTTAATGGAACTAAGTATTTTCAAGGGATGGTGCAGCAATAACTGGGTATCTACATGTGAAATACGAAGTTTGACACTTACCTAATACCATATATAAAAATTAACTAAAAGTGGACCAAAGATATAAATGTAAGGCCTAAAGCTATAACATTCTTAGAAAAAAGTTAGGGCAAAAGCTTCACAACATTGGATTTGGCTATGATTTTTTGCATATGACGCTAAAGGACAGAAAACAGAATAAAAAATATACATATTGGACTTTATAAGAATTTTTAATGATTATGCACCAAAAGAAAATATAAACAGAGTAAAAAGGCAACCCACAGAATGAAAGAATATTTGCAAATCGTATCTGTGATAAAGGATTAATATTCATAATATACAAAAACTGCTAAAACTCAACAGAAACAAACAACATGCTTCAAAAATGGGCAAAGAACTTTAACAGACATTTCTCCAAAGAAGATATACAAATGACCAATAAGCATATGAAAAGATATTCAACATCAATAATCAACAAGGAAATGAAAATAAAATTATTATGAGATATCACCTCATACTTATTAGGATGGCTACTATCATAAAAATAGAAAATAACAAGTGGCAAGAATGTGGAACAATTGGAAACCTTGTGCACTGTTGGTGAGCATGTAAAATGGTACAGCTTCTGTGGAAAAGAGTATGATGGTTCTTCAACAAATTAAAAATAGAATTACCATAAGATCCAACAATTCCATTTCTAGGTGTGTACCCCCAAAAAGTGAAATCAGAGTCTTGAAGCAATATTTGTACACCCTAGTTCATAGCAGTATTATTCACAATGGTTTAAACATGGAAGCGACCCAAGTGGTCATCAAGAGATGAACAGATAAGCAAAATCTGATGCTAACAGATAAGCAAAATGTATGTACAAGAGAATACTCGCCTTACAAAGGAAGAAAATTTTGACACATGCTACAACATGGATGAATCTGGAAGACACTATGTTAAGTGAAATAAGCCAGTCTCAAAAATAAAAATACTGTATGATTCCACATATGAAGTACTCGGAGTAGCTTAAATCATGGAGGCAGAAATGATGGCTGCCAGGACCTGTGGGGAGGGGAAATGGAAAGTTATTTTTTAATGGATATAGAGTTTCAGTTTTGCAAGATAAAACAAGTTTTGGATATGGATGTTGATGAAGATTGCACAATAATAGGAATGTATTTAACACTACTAAAATATACATTTAACAATGGTTAAGATAGTAAATTTTAAGGTACACGTATTTTCCCACACTAAAAAGCATTGGGGCAAAAATGATAGGAAGAAATGGTTGATGCTATTGCAAAGTAGGTTAAGGTCAGGATATTTTTCTTAAAGGTGGTTATGTCAGGGTCATGGACAAGCAGATGGCAGAGTAAAATTAGGTAAACAGAAAGCTTGTAATAAAGACATGTTTTCAAAGATACCAGAAGATTAAGGGAAACAAGTAGTGACGGTGAAACCTTCTAGGGCCAATAAACTGGGGGATCCATTACCATTATTCTATATAAGTGGCAAAGGGAGGAAGCAGTGACCAGAATCCAGAGACAATAGCTGGAGCTGAAGGCAGCTGGAGCAAAAATGCTGTGACCTTTGCTAAAAAAAAAAAAAAAAAAAAAAAAGCATCCAACCCAAGGCCAGGCAGAGAAGGAACCAGTGGAATAGAAACACAGACTCAATCTCCTCCTTCTTTACTTTCCTGCCAGTGTCTCCCACTGGACAACCCCAACCAGAAGTTAGAAGGTGAAGGAATGCAGTTGACACACTCCATAGAAGTCAGCCTCCTGGAGCATACAGCTATTGGAAACTGGATCTCTAGGGACAAATAGGACATATCTAGAAAAAAAATGATGGAGGCCTCTAGGAACTGAGGTCAGCCTCTGGCCAGCAGCCTGCAAGGAGCTGAGGCCCAGAGTTCAACAGCCCTGGGGAAACTGATGTGCCAACAGCCACGTGAGTTTGTAAGCAGATCATTCCCCAGTCAAGCCTCAGATGAAACACAGTACCAGCTGACACTTGGAATCTTTATGAGACCCTGAGGCACAGGATTCAGCTAAGTTGTGCCCAGATTCCTGACACAAACTAAGCTAATAAGTGTGTGTAATTTTAGCCAAAAAAAAAAAAAAAAAAGTAAAAGGAAGGAAGGAAGGAAGAAAGGAAGGAAGGAAGGAGCTAGTATAACCAAATTATTAAAAATAGGTAAATTAGAATAATGAGAAAAATAACCCTATGTTTTTCTCCTATAATATAATTTCTCTTTAACATTTTTATATTTCCTCTTAATCCTTTTTTCTCAATATATCCTTTGAAAATTATTTAAACATAATATTGACTAATTTTATATCATTGAGTTTCTTTTTAACCATTTTCCTTTTGTCCTTTTGTTCCTTTCCTTTTGTCCCACAAACTGTTAGAAATGATGGGCTGAAAATGTATAACAGTAATTGTCCATTCTGCTGACCCTTGGCTTATTACCTTTGAGAAAAGATTAATTTTTAGCAAGGCAGTAAAAGTTTTAGCTAAATTTTGTCATTAATTCTGGTTTTCTTTCATTTCCAATCATCCATGTGGACCAAAGTTAGCCACATTTTGATATAGAGAAGGTTCTGTGAGGAACTTTTTTTTCACCTTGCAGGAGTTTATTTTTAATAGGAGAGAGAACAAACATTGATATATTATAGCTGGGCCAATCTTTCAGGATGGGTTTGATCAAGTTGTGGTAACAAACAACCCTCGCCCCAAAATCTCGGTGGCTTAACAAAATAAAAGTGTGGTTTTTCTTCACTCAAAGTCCTCTGTGAGTCCAGAGCGGCAACCCTCAAAAGTTGACGGGGGCCCCTACAGTCTTTCGTCCCCAATATCTCAATACAAGCCCTCTTCCACAATCAACATCAAAGGGGAGGAAAGAGTTAGAGATTCAACTCTGGCAATTAAATACTTCAGGTTGAAGTATTCACTTTTTTTTCTATCATTTAAATAAACAAACAAGTGCCATGACCAGCGCTGACTACTGGGGGAGGGATGCCCAGAATGGAAAGAGTCCTGGAAATACTGTTAAGCAGCTGTAACACTGACCATAGTTTCTCATAGATATTGGTGGATTTCTATTGTTATCAATACCTTAAGACAAAGATGTATTTTTAGATTCTGGTGCTTTTATTATTTTATTGAAATCTAAGACGTCTCATATAAATCCAGGGTTTTGATTTTATTTCTTTAATCATGAAGATACAGATTTTTTCCATTTGTGGAGTTAAGTGTTATCACTGCAGGAAAGGAAATGAACACTTCATCTATTTCTCATAGAATCAATGGAAATGACTAAATATTTTCTGATGATTTTGAGAGTTAACAGCCACTTTCGCCCTCATCAAGATCAATACTGATGACACTGAGAAGGCAATTTTTCATTAAGTAAAGTCAATAAGGATGATACCAATATATATAAAATAGGAAAAGAAGACCTGCTGCACATTCTTTTGAAACTTACAATACATATAAACAAGATTTATGAGAACATAGCTAATCAAAATGGCTAGATATAAAATAGAGCTTAAAAAAACTTCAAGGTTAAAAACACTTATTTTATTTCTTTCTGTTTTAGAAAGTTCTATTACTTTTTTTTTTTTTTTTTTTTCCATAGCTTCTAGAAGCAGCACTCTTATGCTACGCTTTACCCAGGTTGTGGCTCATTAAACCCAATGTGTGCCTCAATCTATTGGATAACCAAAATTGACCAGATATCTTTTGAAAACATAAATAATTTGGAGAGGCAGTGGTGGGTGTTTGAATTTGAAACTCCTGGTAAGGAATTGTAATTGGTGGTAATGTTGGACCATGTGCAAGAGGAGGAAGAAAAGAGACTGGTTAGGAGAATGAGGAGAATGAAGCAGATGTAGGGAGAAGCCAAATGAGGGGAGCTGTTGGGTGCTGAAGGATTTGTGTTAAGTAAACCCTGGGCTCTGCTGTATTGTGTTTCTCGAGCTTAGATGCCTGTGAGAATTATAATAACCTCTCTTATTTATGCTAGTTTGAGTAGGCTTCTTTTCTTCGCAAACAATAATTCTCAGTCACCATTTTTAGTAACTGTTCTAAATACATTGTTACAGAAAACACCATTATAAATCATCTTTCATTTGCACAGATTTGGTTAGCCTGAGAACATTGCATGGCTATCATGCCCCTAATCATAGTATTAGTAATAATAACCAGAGCTGTATCAAACATGTACTATGACAGTTGCATTTAAGCATGTTGCATGAATCATCTCATTTGATCCTTATTTCAACTCAAGGAAGTAGAAATTATCCTTAGCTGTTTGTTCCAATGTAACGATGAAGCACAGAGAGATTTATAAACTTGCTCAAGTTCATATAGCTAGCAAGTGGTGAAACCAAGACTTGAAAAGATGCTTATATACAGGGCATTTCATGCATTAGAACATGGAACACATACTGCTGGATTGCTAACTTTTTTACTCAGTTTCCGATTCATAAGACTCTATGATCTAGATATATATAATCATAAACATATATAGGGATGTTTATATCTCACTTTATGTATATGTATAAAAGTGTGGTTTTCATCACTCAAAGTCCTCTGTGAGTCCAGAGTGGCAACCCTCAAAAGTTGACGGGGACCCCTACAATCTTTCGTCCCCAGTATCTCAATACTAGCCCTCTTCCACAATCAACATCAAAGGGGAGAAAAGAGTTAGAGATTCAACACTGACAATTAAATATTTCAGGCTGAAATATTAACTTTTTTTCTATCATTTAAATAAACAAAGCAAGTTCCATGACCAGTCTTGACTACAAGGGGAAGGATGCCCAGAATGGAAAGAGTCCTGGAAATATTATTAAGCAGCTGTAACACTGACCGTAGTTTCTCATAGATATTGGTGAATTTCTATTGTTATCAATACCTTAAGACATAGATGTATTTTTAGATTCTGGTGCTTTTATTATTTTATTGAAATCTAAGACGTCTCATATAAATCCAGGGTTTTGATTTTATTTCTTTAATCATAAAGATTCAGAATTTTTTTTTTTTTTTGAGACAGTCTCTCTCTGTTGCCCAGGCTGGAGTGCAGTGGCATGATTTCGGCTCACTGCAGTCTCTGGCTCTCAGGCTCAGGTGATTCTCATGCCTCAGCCTCCCAAGTAGCTGAGATTGCAGGTGTGCACCACCATGCCCAGCTAATTTTTGTTTTTTAGTAGAGACAGGGTTTCGCCATGTGGCCAGACTGGTCTCGAACTCCTGGTTTTAAGTGATCCACCTGCCTCTTCCACCCAAAGTGTTGGTATTACAGGCATGAGCCACCATGCTTGGCCCTCTATGATATTTTTTAAAGGCCCTATTGTTAATTACTATTTTTATGTGAACTATATTGCTTGTCACTAAATTATAATATCTATCAAGCATCATTTTATGCTCACTTAATTTTTACTTATAAAAATGACCTTTTTAAAGGTTATCTAATGCTGATTTGTCTTTATATGATAAAATATTTTATAGAATATCATAAAATTTCGTGGGGCAAATGAGACTTATGCTTGCTTGTTGTTTTTTTTTAAAATAACAACTTTTACAATCTAGCCTATATTTTCATAGACCAGTCATAGGGTGACTGATTTTTTTCTAAATGATTACAATATTTGAACTTCTGTACTGTACAGCAGGAAAACAGAAACCAAAAGAAAATAAAACAAACTATAAGCAGAGAAGTGTTATATGCGACAGGCAATTTCCTGAAGATTTGAGCATCTTAGAAAAGTTCTTCAACTAAAACAAAGTATTACTTTCCTTATATCTTAGTTTTCTCTTGCCTCCTCTGTTATAATGCTTAAATTCTGCAAATAGTGACTCATTCTCTTGAATATTATACACTCTAGTCTTTAAGAATCTTCTTTAAAATTACAAAGTCCCATAAGGTGTGGCACTCCCTATAAACATTATCCATCTAGAATTGTAGGAATAGTAAGTTTTCTACAGTAAAAATCAGGTGGTCAGAACCAGCCTTATATGTCTGTCCTCCAGGATAATGAAAGGATAAAGAGTTATAAAGAATTATGGAAAAAGGAAGTGGGATGAAGGTGACAGCAGTTTTTAGGAAGCTTTATTTTATTTCTTTGCTTTTTGTTTATGCTAATTATACATATAGCAGACAGAGCTATGTTATTAGAGGCAGAGCTTGAAGACTGAAAGAGCCTATGTGTAGAGACAAGCTGGACTGGATTCCTGAATTGATTCTGGCTTGATCAATCACTGTGTGAGCAGGGGAAGCCATTTTAATCTATCTACACATTTTCCCTCTTGGATGAGATATCTATTGTAATGGAGTAAATTCATTACACAAGGTGTCTATTCTACCAATGAGCTGCACTGCTTCCATTGTAAGTGCTCTTTGTATACCTTTATACAGATGTACTTTTAAAAACAATTGTCAAGTGTTCAGTATGTGTTAGGACCTTTGCTCGGTGCTTTATATACATTATCAAATTTACTATGGAAAATAACCCTATAATGCAGATTCTATTTTTCTTGTATTCTATACAAGAGGAAGCCAAATACTTAAATGAAGTAAAGTTTTCTAAACTGCACAGGTAAAAATCCCAGAAACCAATTCCAGAACCTATAATCATAATCATCTTATTATATGGCAGCCCAACTGTGATATTTGTTTGTAAAATAATGTATTTTATATATGTTTATATCCTGGAAAGATTTAGTGAAAAGTGAATTGTTCATTGTGCAATGCATCCTGTCCATCTTGTATAAATGAATATGTATAAGATGGGAACAAAGAAATCTGATGGATTCCTTTTAAGCAAACTAGATAAAGATAGGTCTATGGCAAACAAAGTGACCACTCTGGGCGTTATAATCATCCCACTGCTGCTCACAGCCTAGAAAAGGATCTGAGACTTCCTGGGATTGCTCCTCATCAGCAGACCCGTTCCTAAGCTAGGCTAAGTAATTATGACCACTAGTCTTTCTGTACTATCTTAGAAACACTAGAAAACCATAATAATGCACTTCTGGGCCTACCACAAATTATTAAGTGCATCACCCTAAAATTGTAAATACGAAGGCCTTGCCTGTTATGAACATTAAATGAATGTCAAGCCCATGGCTCCGGGTTCTTAGAATATTCTACCTCTATCACTACAGTGGAAGTTAGGGAAAGAAGCCAGAACCTTTAGAATGGGTTAGGGGTGGAAGGAGCCTATCTGCTACTTACAGCAGGGGTCCTGTCAACCTGTGGTTGGATGCCTCAGGGTGCCCAAGGATGCCACACTTGAGTCTGACAGAAAAATAACAAACAGGAGGAAGATTCAATGTTCTTGGAAATAGCTTTATAAAAAAAAATTGATCGAGGACTGAGCAAGACTAAGAGACTGCAGATAATAAAAAGAGGTGCTCGTTTTTGGATTTCCTGGGTATTGCCAAAATATTTCAAATAGGGTCTCTGGAGCTCTGCTATCTGACCCTACAATCAGAGATCTCACCACTCTCATCTTTAGCAACATACACAGGTCGTTCTTTTATTATTATTATTATTATTATTATTATTATTATTATTATTATTATTATACTTTAAGTTTTAGGGTACATGTGCACAACGTGCAGGTTTGTTACATATGTATACATGTGCCATGTCGGTGTGCTGCACCCATTAACTCATCATTTAGCATTAGGTATATCTCCTAATGCTATCCCTCCCCACTTCCCCCACCCCACAACAGTCCCCTGTGTGTGATGTTCCCCTTCCTGTGTCCATGTGTTCTCATTGTTCAATTCCCACCTATGAGTGAGAACATGAGGTGTGTGGTTTTTTGTCCTTGCGATAGTTTGCTGAGAATGATGGTTTCCAGTTTCATCCATGTCCCTACAAAGGACATGAGCTCATCATTTTTTATGACTGCATAGTATTCCATGGTGTATATGTGCCACATTTTCTTAATCCAGTCTATCATTGTTGGACATTTAGGTTGGTTCCAAGTCTTTGCTATTGTGAATAGTGCCGCTCATCCTAAGTCACCTGTTCTGCAGGCTTCTTGTGATATTTAGAAATACCTTTTGTAATGGCCTAGAATTTACATACAAGTAGGTATTTAACAAATGTTTCATTCACATAGGTAACTTTCAGCAAAATGTAGGTTTGCTTTTACATTTATGTAGACCTTCAATTAAAAGTAAACTCATATCTTGTATGCTTTCACTTGCCCTCTTCAGAAGTAACTGTCATTCTTATTACATGTGGGAGAAACTGAGGTACAAGGAAACTGCTCAGTGTGACATACTGGGTCACTTTCACATGTAAACCAATTCTGCTAATTCGCTTTGCAAGGATAAGTGCTGGCATCACTTTATCTTCAACATATTAATGTATACAGCTGTCTAGCCATGTGGCAGATACTTTAGCCAAGAATAATACCCGGATTCTGCAATTTGAGCACCAATTATCAGGAGGTTAAAAGCACTGATTTATCCTGGTCCCTGGTCTCCCTCAAGCCGCGTACAGTGCTCTAATGATGAGCAATTGAGGAGCAGCGTCTTTTCTCATGTTCATTACTCTCCAACAAGATCTTAACTTGATAAGGCCATCCTGAAAAGGCTAGATCAGCTTTAGACAAGGTAGCAGGTGCATTTATCAACTGCTCATGTTTGCTGAGTCAGGGATTGCTGTGGTTTTTAACATTTTTTTTTCCTACTAAAGAAGTTACTTTTTTTGTTTTCATATTTAGGGGATTGCTATCTATTCATGACAGCATTTTCCATTATGGCACCTGAAGAAAGTGTTTAAACTTTTCTCCCAGTTTCTAAACTCAAGTCTTTTCAATAAATTGTATATATTATGCAATTCGATGCTAGATAATTGTCTTATTCCCTCACCCTCCAAAATACTAGCATATACCTAATTAATACAGGGATATTCCATAAATCATAGGTGCCAAGGAAAAACCATGTAACTGGGGAAAACTTTACACAGAATATCAATCAGATCCTGGTACTTGTCATTTAAGTAGAGCACAATTCTCTCAAGGCTTACCAGCCTCTCTCACAGCATCCGCCACAGCACTTAGAAATATTAACTCCTTGTGCTTTCAATCCTCAGAATAAATGAACTTCAGCTCACTCTTCTTTTTATTGTTCCCGTGGGCTCTTTTTGTTGGGGGAGGGAGAGAGAAAAGGCTATTTTTATAACGTTTTGCAAGTCAAATGACAAAGTTCAGAAGAGGGAAAATGCTGGAAAAAAATCAATGCAATGTCCTTATTTGGCAGCGCTTAGTTTGGCTAATTACTGGTTACAGGTAGGAAACACAGCTAATGGGGCTTAGCAACAGATGGGGAGCCAGCACAAAGCTGTAGGTTCTTCCTCTGCCTCGGCTGTGACTTCCTGCAGTGTTGAACAAGTCATTCAACCTGTTTTTGATTCACTTCCCTTTCACTAAATTATAGATAATAATGCCTACTAGCTATGTCATACATTGTTGAGAAGAATAGCTCATAGGAAGATCACAAAACACTTTCAAAGAGTTGAAATGCTCTATAGGCACAGGCTCCACTGAATCAAGCTGAACAGGAGGCAATGCCCCTTTCTGTCAAGTCCTCTGTTCCCCATTTAAAACCAAAACGAATGCAAATCTGAAAGTGACTTTGCATTTGCCATGCATCCCTTCTGCCTCTCAGGCATTCTATCACTAACTGATTGTAACTATGCAAATGATACTGTTATCTGTGGCACACACTGTCGTTTGTACTGCAGCACCAGCAGTTTAAAATGCTTGATGAATCCAAGGCTGATTGGCAGCTCCAAACTTATCCGTGACCTAATTTGTGGTCAAGAAGTACATGCAGATTTGGATAAGGGCAAAACCAATGACAACAGCCTTTCCTTGAGGTTTTAAAAGACTTGAAGTTTGGTTGCCAGGGATTTTTTAAAAAAAATAAATACAGTTCTGCATCTGGGATCTGGATTTAAAGCAAAATTCGTCAAATGCACCAAGAATTTTGAAGCTCTAGAGAGCTTCACAGAACAAAAGTAATCCTGAGATAAAGAATGGGAACGATTTCTGCTGCCGCTGAAATGATTGCAGCAGGATGATGGGTGGTGATGTGATGATTTCCTCATTGTTACAGAGAAAGGAAATCGGCTCCTGTGCCAAGAAGCAATGGATTTACCCCGCTAATTTCCAGGTGCTTTAAGTGCTGGATTCTGTTCCAAAATAAAAACATAAATAAATATGGCAAATGTTAGGTAACGTGGGGATGGGAAGGGAATCAGACAAGGAAACTACCATTGATTGCTTGCTGGGTTGGCAATATCATCACATTTCACAGACCATGCTACTGAGCTGCAGAGGTCAAGTGACTTGCCCAAGTTCGCGGAACTGGTAGGTGGTGGAACAGTGAGTAAAAACACACAGCCTCTGCTCTTTTCACTCTACTGGGTTGTCTTTAGGAGATGTTGTCTGGATCTATATACCAACTGCAGAGACAGAGAAGACCGCTTGACTTTCACAGTACCCCAGGCCAGAGTACAAGGGGAAATCCTATAGATGACTTGCCCAGCCTCCTGCTGTTTGGAGCTCAGCAAATTTGCCTCATGGGAAGCTCCGTTGTCTCCCTTCCTCTGAGTCCCCTCTTCTCTGACTGGTCCCTGCCAGCACTGCCTGTTTGCTGTTACTACTTCCCAGTGATCAACAGCTATTTTATGTTTCCTCCCATTGTGCTTCATTGCACTTTTGTGGCCCCTCTGCCCACCTACCTGCAGCTCACCTTCATGTTATTGAAGGGCGGTTGTGTTTGTGGCTTGTTATTATGTTCTTGAACAGCCCTATGATGTGGAACTTAAAGGGGCCGGGTTGTAGAGGAACATCCATTATCCATCACTTCTCTCCATATTTCTCACTTTCACTAGGTCCTTTATCATTGTCATATACTGGGAAGTTTAAATCCAAAATCTGAAGTCTGGCTTAAAAAAATTATCGGTTAATGTTATCTTTTAACATTTGTTGACATTAATTGAACATTTGTTATAAGAAAAGCAATATGCTAAATGAATTACGTAATTACCCTGTTTAAATCTCAAAATGACCCAATGAGGTGAGGTTTTTTGTTAATTTCATTTTATAAACCAAGAAACTGAAATTTATGGTGATGAGGTAGTCTGCCCAAGGTTACAGATATAGTAACCTGCAGAACCAAGATTCAACCTCAGATCTGGCTCACTGCAAAGTCCTAACTGAACCAAAGTATTAACTCTACCAAATTAACTCCACCAACTTTGTGCATCTGTATATGTTAATGTAATTGCTGGAGTCTTGGTCAGTTTCATCTTTATATTCACAGTTTTCAGCACAATCCTCACTATGAACTCTGATGAATTAGCAAATTTATATTGTGGCAGAAGGATTGAGAATCAAAATGCAAATTATACACTTACCATCACAAATCTGATGCTGATTTGTTGGATCAATTTATAAAATATGGACCAAATTTGATTTGTTTTTTGATATGCCTGTAATCAAAAATATTTCTGTAAAGATATTTCTGTAATCAAACAAACCTGGTTCTATTATCTAACAGACTGAGATCCTTGCTGTGTGGACACAATTCAGACCCGCCTAATAGTACCTTGGGTCAACAGAGGGAAGTCTGCAATGGTACTGACAAGTGTGTGTGTGTGAAGCAGAATGTGTTTTGCAGTGCAGAGCTGTCAGACTAGAAATAATGCATCAAGATGCACGTTCTGGGCAACTTTAATGATGCTCCCATGGGTATTCTTAGTGCTATGTTAAGCATGGCACTTATAAAAACCTCACATTGGCGCTTAGAGCTTCTGGAAGATAGTTCAATGTTTTGTTGTGTAGCTAGGCTTGCAGATCTTGGTTATGGCTTGAAGGTAAATAAGAGATTAAAACCTCCACTTCTAATTACTCAATTTTGACATTAAATTTCAATATTTATAGAAAAGCTAGAATTTCATAAATATCAGATTATGCCAATATCATCAATGAACTGTTTTCTTGGAATTACTTAGATCAAGCAACCAGTTCTGAAGGTTACTTTCACAATTTTAATTAGTAAAAATGCTTCTTACTTATTGAAAACTTGAAGCTCAAGCAATAATCTATCTATTGGTAATAGAGAAGCACTGCTGAATAATGTTCTGTGTCTTACAAACATATCTTATTGTTTTGAGCCATTAAATGCTGATATAGTAGTTGCCTGCAGCATGCTTAAGCAATAAGCCATGATGAGGTACTGTACCACTCCTTGATGCCTGGGGTACATCGTCCAGAAGAGTTTTCTAATCACGCAAAAAGGAGCAACTCCCAAATATATTATGCTAACTAACCGTTCCTTTCCTACATGATAATCATCTAGGTTGTTTATTATATATCTGTTTAAAGAATTACCATGTATCTTAAGTCAAGCAAAACCACATCAAATATTTGCAGCCCTAAACAATTAGAAGAAAGAACAATAATTCTGATGCACATATCCTGCTTTGGGTATTTCAAGTTTTGTTTCATTATTTCATGCCCTCAGCTCCCTCCGTCCAGGGATTTTGTCCCTCCTGTATCAAGGCTTCTTTCACCTCTGTCTGCAGTAACACTTTCTTCTTTTATTTTAGATTTTTAAAAAGCTATCTCAGGAATTTTGGTGTAGCTCCTGATTCAGCTGTATTGATGGTAATTGAGAGGGGAATACAAACTGAACTCAAGTGCAGCTCCACTTAAATTTACTTCCCCTGAGAGAAGAATTTCCAAAGCTGCCAGTCCAAGGGTTTCTATAAAATTTGTGTTTGTAAGAGCAGCACTTCATTATATTTTGTTCTTTTTGAAATCATCTAGAGTACTATGAAAATTATCACAGCTTCCAAAGGAGGTTGGTAAAGTTTGTCTGTCTTTAAGAGAAAACTAATGGGTCTTGAGAGCTTTCCCTTTTGTTTAAAAATAAACACTGATATTTCTGAATAAAATATCGTGACTGCACTGTCATTCTGTTTATAGACCTCTCCACAGGGACATTCTTCTGCACTGAGAAAATCTGTGAAGATCATTGCTTTTGGATTTAAACATGATGGGTAGCCCCTGTCCCTTTTATATCTTTATTTCTGTATCTGTAGATATAGATGTACATATTACAGAGCTAGAGATAGTGATATTCACACTGGTAGATGTAGATATAGATATGAATGAATTCAACAAAATGTCTGAGAGATGACTAGTGGCCCCTCACAAGGACATCTGACTTTTGCATGGTATGTACTCTTTTGAATGAGATATGGTCACAATGACACTTAAAACAGATATCATTTTGAGTGACAAACTGTGCCATCCTTACCATTTTCTTATTCTGCAGTAGTCCATTGGCATTAAAGCTGCCTGCAAAGTTGTAGGCTTGGTGATCTGAATGAGAAGAACTAGGGAATAGATTTCTATAAAAACCTGACTGCATAATTTAATCGGGCACACATTCAGGGTATATGAAATCAGAGCAGAGATAAGTAAGAGTGTCACTGCATTTGCATGTTCCGATTAGATCGAACAGCATAAAGAAAAAGATTTCTTATCAGAGAAGACTTCACGATGGAAGTTACATTTCAATAGTAATTTGAATGAAAGGAGAATTGATGAGTTGAAAACTGGTAGGATACCACATTATGTGATTTAAATAAAAGGCTAAATTTTAAAATGTTATCTGGAAATTTTGGAAGACTATGCTTTTTTAAAGTATTACATTTTTATTTAAAGTATTAGGATTGTACTTAATCACACTCCTGCATTCGCTGACCGTGAGTTGCATTAATGTGAAATCATGTAAACCAGATGAGAAATGGGAACAGTCTTTAGGGTGAATGTTACCCACGATTTTTGCTTAGCCCTAAGGGTGACAGAAATTACTCTATCTGTCTTGTTGATCAGTCCAGGGTCTTCTTTTCTATTCTCTCTGTCTTCCAGAAATATTCTATCAAAATAAGCTAACATTTTCTTGAACACCTTTTTTTCCCATTAGAGCTTCCTTTCTTCACTTTGGTATAATTCTAACCTCCTGGTTGTTAGCTCATTTGACCACTTTTTCTCAGCACTTAGCTATTCTCTCACTTACTAAGTGACTTAGATTTTTGACTTACTCCTGTGCTTTGTATTTTAGCTTCTCCTACTCCACAGGGGTGTTTGTTTCCCTGTTCAAATTCTCTCTCTCTCTCTCTCTCTCTCTCTCTCTCGGTCTTTTCTTTTGTTTCTATCTTCATAGTGGAGGAGGCAGAGATTATTATTTAAGAAGTACTATCTTCCTCTTCACTACTGTTTTTTCTCATACATCTCTTTGTAAGTGCTATAAGCAGTTTGGGCTGATGTTGAGCAGGAAAAGGAGACTCTACTCTTCTTTTGATGAGTGGTGTCCCTTCAGGATTCATGATATTTATAAGCAGAGGGAGAGGGAGAGGTGGAGAAATGCAGACCATTAGGCTAGCACTGGAGAAATCAAGGGAAAAACTGAGATTCAGTCAAGACCAAACCAGGGGGTACACGCAGGTAAAAGAAGGGACTTCATATTAGGAATAGTCCAAACCTGGGACTGAATCGAAGGTGATGGCTGTGATGTTCCGCCTCTGTTCCCATTCAGGACTTTGGTGCTTATTCTTCAAATTCCTGAGTTTGCTGCTAACAGTTCATAACGAAGCCTCTCTTTAGAAATTGTTCTTGGCTAGAAGAAGCTTCCTTGCCCAATACTATGCCCCCTTTATAGGAGCAGCTTATATCCAAATGACAGCTGATGCAAACCTCAGTGTCTTAGAATCGGGGAACTTGGGCTCTGGCATGTATGATCCAAGATTAAGACAAGATAATGTGTTGTCCATATACGCAACAACATGTGGTACATCATTTCCACATAGTTTATGAAATAGAATTTAGAGAATGTACACATGTAATGACTTAGCCTCCAACATATTGGGCAGGAATTCATAAAGCAGCGATGTCCCATACTTTGGGTGTGTGAAGGGGAAAGAATAATAGTGCCAACACAGAGTGCTACCATCCCATACTGTTCAAATAAAGTAAAGGGATCTCTGTTTGAAATTCTATCCCTAAGCAATAAGTGACTCTTCCATTGAAAACAGTTTAAATCCTCTCAAACAGCATGCTGATCCCATTGAGAGCTGACACAAATCATATGCTTTTTAACACAGAACACTTGGTCTAGAGTCAATGAACCATGGCTTCAGAGCCACTCAACACAGGGAAGGGCATATGGGAGGAAGGGAAGTCTTCCATGGAGACCGATGAGTAATTACTTCACAAAGACTGCAATTTGATCAAGGACACATTTTAAAAATCAAAATATTATAACACAAAATGACCTAAGAAAACTTAGTTATGCACACAACTCTTAGGGTATTTTTGGTGAGAGTGTAGCTGCTGATTCCCATACTTCCCAACCAGATAATAATAAAAGCATGGATCAAATTCTGCCACCTACACTGACATATATTAAACAGTCACTTATTAGCAAAAAGGCACAAAACATTTTAAACAATACCTACTATTTGAGATGAACAAAACCCCAGTCTCTTATCTTTGTAGGTGCTACTATTATGCTTTGCACAAAAGAGGTACTTGAAGCCCCAGACATGACAATATTCCAGAAACCAATGCTGGACACAAGACCCTTGATCAAACCTCAGTCACCATTCCTGAGGGTATGCCCTAAGGGGTTTGCTAGAGTTTCATAGGCTTCTCATGAGAGAATAGAGATTGTCTTGGAAATAATTAAGCCAGTCCACATATCTGAATAGCACTACTTTTAATTGAGAAAGCTGATTTCTAAAATATATTAACATCTGCGTCAAATCACCAATTTTACCAATGAAAGCACATTTTAAAAATATATTAACCTAAATAGCAAAGCTCTATGCTGATCAAAGTTATGAATTGCTGAAGTTATTACATTCATTTAACCATAGGAAATTGATAATATTCAACCATGTTTGATCAACAAAAATGGCATCTGGGAGTGTATTATTTTTTAATTAGATATTTGATGACTTTTGGAGTGAATTTGTAATTGGGCAACTGACTACCTCTAAAGTGGCCATCATCTACATGGCCTACAGTGAGATATATTTTAATGAATTCTAACTATAGTATGAAATGGTAATAAGGGAACTGAAAGAGCAGATATTCTTAATAGTCCATTTCTTGTGGGAGAAAAAGAAAGTGGGAGAACAGAAGAGGGTAATACTGAACCACAGCCATTTGCCTTGCTGGCCATGCCACAGGTGACTATCACCAATTTGTTAGCAAGAAGGCATGGCTCTCAGGAGAGCGTGTGGGATAAATAAATTTCAGTGAATCCTTTGATTATTCCCATAAAATTCTGGGTAAAAAGAGCCCATCTAGGTACTACTCCATGTAGATAAGTGGACCTCTGACTACTACAATCAAAACCCTCCTCTGCAGCCCTTGTATTTCAGAGAAAGCTGTCTTATTGAAGCATATTTATTTATTTAGATGTGAAATAGGTTAAACTATAGAGTAATAGGAGCAAGGAAACAGTCAAGGCCCCTATAGGTTAAGAGAATTTAAGAGTTAATACTTTTTTAAAGATCATCAAATTGTACTTTTGAACTGTAATTACAGATATAATAAAAACTCAATCAATAAAATAGACATAACAAGACTCACAAGACTACCATTCATTGATTTTGTAAGCGTTCCACTAGTACATTTGATGTGCATGGTGTCTCCAAGTATTACTGATTTAAGAATCTGTTGCAGGTTGAAGAAATGCTAAATCAATCTTGAGAATGGTGACATTTGTGCAGAGTGATTGGCCTTTGAACATCATTTATATCTCAGAGAGAAAACACATTTTAGTACTAATAGCTAAGAATCATGTACATATGTATCTCTATAAAAACAATTCTCACAAAAAGTAATCTAAGGGAACATCAGAATCCTCTTAAATTTTGGAAGGAAGTAACTTCCAAAGGAATAGCACTGCTTTCAAATATCTTTTATCTTTAGTGTTTATTTTTGGTATTTCATAGGCCCAGTAAGAAATATGAGAACATTATAATAATCAAAGTACCTGGCTTTTCAACATTTTTTTCTCAAGCTCTATGAGTAATAATCTCTGAATAAAGATCATGTGAATCATAATTATTCTTATCTTTTGTTCTATAATTGCTTTTGGGGGATATAATTTTCTCTGAAAAATGTTGAAACTAAGACTAAGAGGTGTTAAATGAGTTGGTGAAGGACACATGGTTCCTTAGTGGTTTCTTTTTTTTTTCAACATACTTCATTTAATAAGCAGGCTTCCATGGCTAAACTCTCTTTTGCTACAAGAAACTACTTAAAGAAGAAGAAAAAATAAAACAAATATTTATTGAGCACCATCTATATGTTATACACCGTTTCTTATGTTATAAACTACCTATTCTCCTTTTGTAAACATGAGATTTTGCAAATTAGTGTAATTAAATTAACCTGGCTAAGGTCACAGCATAGCTCAAAAGTCCTCATTGAAATCTAGTAGTCTGACTCCAAAGCCCATGCCTTTTCAGTTGACTAAAAGTTTCCCTTGCCAAAATGAAGACACCTGTCGTCAATCATCTAAAAATGTTAATAAGTCATTCCTGTTTTCCCTCTGCTGAGGCTGCCACCGTCACCTAGCAAAATAATTATCTGCTATGAGTGCTATGAGACATTTGACTTTGCTGCTCTGATTCTTCAATAATGAAATATTTAAAAAATGGAAGCTAGGAGTAGCTTTAGATAGATGGCAAATAGCCAGGGAGTGTTTGTAGGACTATTGCCTTGTCTAAAGTCTGGCTCTAGAACTTCAATTATGCTGCACACTCTTTTTTTTTTTTTTTTTTTTTTTTTTTTTTTTTTTTGAGACAGAGCTTTGCTCTTGTTGCCCAGGCTGGAGGGCAATGGCACAATCTTGGCTCACTGCAACCTCCGCCTCCTGGGTTCGAGCGATTTTCCTGACTCAGCCTCCTGAGTAGCTGGGATTATAGGCATGAGCCACCACAGCTGACTAATTTTGTAATTTTAGTAGAGACGGGGTTTCTCCATTTTGGTCAGGCTGGTCTCGAACACCCGACCTCACGTGATCCGCCTGCCTCGGCCTCCCAAAGTGCTGGGATTACAGGCGTGAACCACCGTGCCCGGCCTGCTGCACACTCTTTAGGTGCCCAATGACACTGGAGGTGATGGAAGCCCCATCGGCACCTATGACCAGAGCATGCAGCCTTCATTCCCACCTTGTCAGGGATGTTCTCAAGACCAGAAGCACCATGACCAGTTTTGAAACACTTTAGAGCATACGTTGGCCTTTAGCTTCAACCCTAAGGGACTTCATTTTTGTTCCTGTTGTACATAAGCTCCGTTTGGAAGCCATTCCAGGTGACTACACTGACAAGGCAGCCTAAGTTCAGGGAGGGAAGCATGACACTCATCTACTTTAAGGCATTTTCTTGCCACCTGGTGCTGTCCATCCAGGGAGAACCAAATTAGACCAAACCACTTATTGATCTCCTTTTTCTTGTTATTAACGTTTTATTTTAATGTCGGGGAGATGTGTTATTTTTCAATTTTTTTATTAATTTTTTCTATACTTCTTATAATTGTATTTATTTGCTTATTTTTTGGACATGAAAATTTTAGGGATAGATTTTTGTTTATTTAAGTGCTATAGAAACTAAGGGGAGAAATAAAAAGTGTCAAATTATTGAGTTTTGCAAACAAAACTATAACAAAAATCCAAATAAAACCTTCTTTGTTTGGGAAAAGTAATAAAAAGAAAATGGATTTTAAAATCAGGCAAGACTGAAGTTTGAATGCTGGCTTCACCACTTGAGATTCAACATCTGCTCAGACCCATAAAGTTTATCATTTTGAAAGTGGGAGAAACTATCTACATTGCAGAGTTGATAAGAGCACTAATGATGATAATGTATCTGATGTGGCTTGGCTGTGTCCTCACCCAAATTGCATCTTAAATTGTAGCTCCCATAATTCCCACTTGTTGTGGGAGGAACCTGGTGGGAGATAATAGAATCATGGGGATTGTTTCTCCCATACTGCTCTCGTGGTAGTGAATAAGTCTCATGAGATCTGATGTTTTTATAAGTGGTTTTCCCTTTTGCTTGGCTCTCATTGTCTCTTGCCTGCCGCCATGTAAGATGTGCCTTTTGCCTTTCACCGTGATTGTGAGGCCTCCCCAGCCACATGGAACTGTGAGTACTTTAAACCTCTTTTTCTTTATAAATTACCCAGTTTTGAGTATGCCTTTACTAGCAGCATGAGAACAGACTAATACAGTGTCCATCACAAATACCTAGCCTGTGGGCAGCATTTAGTTAATTGTGGCTATTATTATTTACCTGTATTACTGGTATTGTTATTTTCTTCACTGGTCCATTGAGAAAGTTACTGGATCAGAGATTCATGAAACCTCAAGCAATAAGCCATGGTACATGGCTGAGGTGGAGCAGGCTGTCATGTCTATTACACTCCAGGAGCCTCCAAGGTGCAAAGCACATTCTGCAGGGTATATCAGAACTGTTCTCCCTTGGTTCCTCTCTCTCTTTCAGGTTCAAAGTCCCCAGTGAGTCACTTGGGTAAGTGAATGCTCTTGGACTTATGTCAGTCTCCTGGCCATAAATAGTCGTGATCAGGCAGGAATAAGTAGAGAAGTACAGAGAGCAGAGAGTGGTGTTTTTACTACCTTTCCAGATCTACCACATCCTCTACATTGTGGCTACTGTGAAATATTTAGAAAGTTTTTCATGTCACTTCCTGCTTAAATCTATCTATACTTGGTATAAAATCTAAATTCTTCATCAGAGCCTGAAAGTCTTTATGTGACCTGAAACTCCCTGTGTCTCTAAGAACCTCCTATATGAGACCACTTGTTCATCCTAGTCTAGGCACCTCTTGCCTCATCTTAGATTCTTTCCTTTCTGTTTCCCCTATGTGAATCAACCTGTCCTTGGTGCTTCAAATGGCCGGCTCCTTCTCAAACTGCATATCTTGACTCAGATATCTCTCATTTGCAGAGACCTTACAAACTCCTTCTCTCTGAATGAATACTACCCAAGCCCCCTATTATGATTATTTCCTTTTGTTCTTTTTTTTGGTCTCACTCTGTCACCCAGACTGGAGTGCAGTGGCGCCATCTCTGCTCACTGCAACCTCTACCTCCCAGAGTCAAGTGATTCTCGTGCCTCAGCCTCCCAAGTAGCTGGGACTACAAGCGCCCACCACCACACCTGGCTAATTTTTGTATTTTTTTAGTAGAGACAGAGTTTCGCCATGTTGGCCAGGTTGGTCTCAAACTCATGACCTCAGATGATCTGCCCGCCTTGGCCTCCCACAGTGCTGGAATTACAGGCATGAGCCACTGCACCTGGCCCTTACTGATTATTTTGTATTATATTGCCATTTATTTTTGCTGTGTAGCTTTCTTGAAAAGTTACAATTATAATTTACTATCTTTTCTGTGCTTTCTAGAAGAAATGAATTTGAGGACAAGAACCACCATATACTCAGCCTAGTACATAATAGGCATTCAATAAAGCAGTTGTTGAATAATTTTATGTTCCTGGAATGCAGGTGTGTAAGATGAGAATGGCAAGAGGTGAGATGAGAGAGACACACCTAGGAGCTACAACATAACAGCTCTTATACTCCATACCAGGCTAAATATTTTTTTCCTTTTTATTTTCTTTTCCAAAAGGAATGGAAGTTTAAGGACTATGAACAGATAATAGCATAGTCAGGTTTATATAATATCTCAGGTATAATATAATTTATATATGGACTGAACAGTGGTAGGTAGATAAAGCAGAGGTGAAGAAACCAAGACATTTTAAAAATATAGACCTGATAGGAGTTGGTGATTTATTTGACTAAGGAAAGAAGAATATTAGAAAATAATTTTTGATCATTAATTGTTGATTATTCACAGAATCTTATTTATTCCTGTAACTGATTTTACAATTAAGGTATAGTGACTGATAATCTCTGTAAAAAGACTCATGGTTCTTCACCTATACAGACATAAACTTTTCCTATCTTATTGAATGTCAACTTTAGGGCTGATTTTAAGAATACATAGGAATTCACATATGTATTTTCAGCTGGTATAATATAATATCATTTCAACAACCCCACAAACTCAGCTTAATCCATAGTTCAGATTCATACCTTTGTATTGATTAATAGTCTATTATTTTGTTTCCACAAACTATTTTAATAAGTCATTACTAAATCCTGTGGCCAATGGTACTCTTCAGAGATCTCTATGTACAATGGAACTTACTATGACAGAAATATTTTACAAATTGTCTGCTGCCTATTGCTTACATTTCAGTTTTTTATCTGGTTATTTCCTGAAAATTATAAGAAAACACTTCAGAAAAACAACCAAACACACACAGTTATAAATGAGCTTATGAAAGAAAATTTCAGTTGGAAGAACTGCACCATCCCAATTGCCTTGATATTCTCGTTGACTCTTTTTCTTTTTCTGAATTTCCCCTCTCACAGGTTTTCTCTTAGAGGTGATTGTGGGCCAGATGAGTCTAGTAGGCAGTGTACTGTAATTCTATGGCATCGTGGAGTTCTTCTCCAGTAAAAGAGATTTTTAGACCCAGGCCCAGGGCCTTTGTTTGAGTTAACCTATCCATCAGTTACATGGATGCTCTTTGTAAAACTTGACCCTGAACAGGGACCAGTTTTATTTGAATATTGTCGAGCTTATTAGCATGACTCCTTTGAAATGCTATCTTTTATGTTACATGTTTTCTCTTCTTTTGTTTCCATTCTTTCCATAGACTTTAAAAACTTCTGTTTCGGTGAATAGAAAACTCATTTTTTTTTTTCTTAAATCAAAAGCTCTTGCTCCTAAAGAATATCGAGTGCATTCATATTTTGCGATTTAGGGCAGTGCTTGGTGTTACCTTTGTAAATCAGATAAGTTTGGCCTACCTAGAGATGAGTGACATTCAGTGTGTTACTAACTCCTGCCAGTTTCCCAGTTAACCCCTAATGATCAAGCCAATCTCGTCACCCTCATATCCTCTATAGGGGGAAAGTCTAGATAGAAAATGGCTTTCAATTTAGGGTCACAATTTCACTTAATAAGAACATTATAGTGACCTTGTTTTACAATGATTTATTTTTCTCCCTATTCTAAGTCTTACTTAAAACACATATGCACCAAGAAAATATTTTTCTTTGTATATTTTAAAATAAGATTTCTCTTATTATAATAAAGGTGATAATAGATCTTTAAACTGACATATTTAGAAAATACAGGGAACAAAGAAATCACCCTATATGTCTTTCTGGCCTAGCATCCTTCACTGATATAGCAAAACTGAACTTCTCATCAAGTCTTGTGACAGTCCTTTATGTAACCTGCTGCCTCATTGGCCCAGCTTTTGCAGTTTTCCAGGAATTGGGGCTTCTTTTCTGCTTTGAGTGCTCTTTCCTCAGAACTGCACATGCCTGGCTAACTCTCAAATTTCAAGTTTTAATTATAAAATAATTTCAACAGCAGGACGTTTCCACCTAACCCATTAGACTATCCTGAAGTTTTGTCAAATTTCTCAATCTTCCAGCAAAAGCCAGAAATTCGGATTTTTAGGTGAATATCTCCAAATTTTGAATGTTATCTAATTTAATTTAAAAACAAATACTATGCAAGTCAAACAAAACTGGCCATCTGCTAATCATATTTGGCCTGTTGATGACCAGTTTGGAACTTCTGGCTTACCGCAGTCAATGCCTAGTGTGCTGATTTGCTGTTTCTTTAAAAGTTACCTTCTATTGGAAAATAAGCTCCAGGAGAGCAGGAGCCTTATTTGTCTTCTCGGTGCTATTTCCTCAGCACCTGGCTCACAGCAGGAATTCAATTAATATTGGTTGTACAAACGAATCTCAAAACCCGAAAATAACATTTTAGAATCTATGTATTACCTTTTCCTCCAAACAAACATTAACAAGAACAACAACAATAAATAAGAAATTTTTACAGTATGCATTTTCTGGTAACTTGATCTCACAGTTTTTCAACTGCAATTCCATTATTACTGTATATTCTCCCACACTGTGGATAGTAAAATATTAGATTTTAGCTGCTCTATAGAATTGCCAGAGGACTTTGTTGATTGCTTTCTACCCTCATTATTCTACACATTCTCAGCATTTATATGCACCATGAATATTGTCATTTGGTTAGTGTTTAAATTGTAGCTCTTTTTTGAATATTTTCCATGTGCACCTGCTTTCCTATTAGGTACCGAATTCTTCAGGAGGCCAGAGACATAGTCTCAAAATATGTATTGTCCAGATAGGGTAAGTTAAAGTATAGTTTTAGTCTGGTTAGACACATTATACCATGAATTACAAAACAAAATACAACTGGGCCATTTTTGGAAGCCTGAGTTCAGGTTGTTGACCGAGAGACCTGGGTTCTTATTCCAGCTCCACTACTAATTATGCAGCCGAAGAATTTCTGTCCCAATATTTTTTCATGTGCAAAATAAAGAAGCTAAAGTTAATTGTATCTAAGTCATCTCACTCTAGAATGGCTACTACCAATAATAATAATAATAATAATAAACCCAGAAAATAACAAGTGGTGGCAAGAATGTAGAGAAATTGGAGCCCTTGTGCACTGCTGATGAAAGTGTAAAATGGTGAAGCCACTGTGGAAAACAGTTCCTCAAAATTAAAGAAAAGGATTACCATAAAACCCAGCAATTACATTTCTAGGTAAGTACCTCAAATAAGTGAAATCAGGATCTCCAAAAGGTATTTGTACACCCATGTTCATAGCAGCATTATACACATTAGACAAAATGTGGAAGCAAATCAAGAGTTCATTGACAGGTGAAGAGATAGACTATATATGATATACACATACGATGAAATATTGGTCAACCTTTATAGAAAGGAAATTCTGACATATGCTACAACATGGATGAACCTTTAGGACATTGTGCTAGGTGAAATAAGCCAGTCACAAAAAGGAAAATACCATATGATTCCACTTACGTAAGGTCATCAGATTCATAGAGACAGAAAGTAGAATGGTGGCTGCCAAGGGCTGAGGGAGGGAGATGGGGAGTTATTGTCTAACAGGTATTGAAGTTTCAGTTTTGCAAGGTTAAAAGCATCCTGAAGATGGATAGTAGATTGTCATTATTGCACAAAAATGTGAGTGGACTTATTACTGTTGCACTGTATACTTAAAAATGGATAAGATAATTAATTTTGAATTATGGGTATTTTACAAGTAAAAATAATTAAAAGTGTACCTGAGGACACTTCTTGGTAGAATGTTTTACAATTCTAGAAGTTCTCATGGAGACCATGCAAAGAGCAACTTTCAGGCTCTTCCTCAGCCTGGTACTGTATTCCCTAAAGGGGAGTCAGGCTTTTGGCAGGTCCTCAACCTCCGTCATCTGTCCCCCAGTTCTGTGTCCCAGAAGACAGAATAGACACCTGATTCTCTCCACCCTGATTACACGTTTCCATGAAAACAAGCAAGTTCTTGTAAATGATCTTTTCTTCTATGTTTAAACTGAAGGTTTATTCTTCCTTTTCTACTTTGACTAACACATTTCCTGGCCCTTAGCCTAGTCAACCTCCAAGCAGAGTCATGGCTTTTTTTCATAGGCATTTTATCCTTGCGTCTCAAAGAATCAATCCACCCTCTTCTTTCTGCTCCTCCTGCACATTCAGTTCCCCTGAGCTGTGTTCAGCTGTCAGCCTCCGCAATGAGCGGCACCGATTCCCCGAGTTATTAGGGAGCACTTGGAGCGTCTCTGCAGCACTGATACTGACAGTTGAACACACAGGAGCAGCTGGCTCAGTGGGGAAAGAGAGGGGAGGGAGTGAGAGCTATTCATTGCAGTGTATTTATAACTTGGCCCGGAAAGCAGGGATGGAGGTATTCAAATAGCAAAGGGTGAAAAGACATTTTATCCTAATTAAAAAGGTAATTAAGTAACACACCGAAGAATTTAAATCAGTGCTCTTGGTTTTTATGACAGGTCTGATGGTATAACTACCCAGAAATCTTTTTGGAACAACAAATGCTGCTTCTTAAGCTCTGCTGCTTGCTGAGTGGCCACCTATGGATGACAAATTACAGTAGGAATCCTAGGCAAGAGTGTCTGAGATAAGTAAAGATTTCTCTCAAAGGAAAACATTGTATACAGGCATGAAATCTCCAGCTCGCCCAGATTAAAGCTCTGTGCCCACGTCATCACCACTGTCTCCTCTCTCCCTACCCACACTTCCCATCCAAACTGACCTGATCAATTTAATGATTACCTAGAAGATCTTCTAGTTTTCCCATACTCACTTCTTTTTCTTCAGCCTATTCTAATTTATGGCATTTCCTGTTATGGTCTTCAGTGGGTTTTTGTTTCCAAATATTTACAAATTAAATGTAGTTTTATGTATATATATGTGTTTCTTACCATTTGATGCTGCATGTCCTACTGAGGTATTTCTTAGAGAGTGAGGAAGTAGGCCATTGATTTCAATATCAAGTTCAAATGTGTGAAAATTCCTAAACAATTGCTAGTCAGCCTTTGAAAATTTCAGGAGTTTCTTTGCAACTAACAGTCCTGAAACAAAAATTTAATTATCTCTTGCAAATATTATTTTAACCAGGTGCTCTTATACATTGCCGATTGTTTTGAAGTACCATAAATTCATTATTTTTCATCCATTCAATTTCTTACTTTGTGAGTACTAGTTTATTGTTTTCTTTGGATTACACCTGTAACAAGTTTATAATTATCTTCAAATTTATCTGAGTTTATTGTCCTACATATAAAATAGTCACATGTGTGTATTTATATATAATAGTGTTTTGTTTCTACAGATGAAAATATAAGACATAAATGTAAGGCTACACACATGTACATACAGTGTGAGATTTAATATATATAACAAATATTTTATGCTATTTAACATGAGAAATATGGACTATCTCTTAGTAGGTCAAAATGATATGACAATTACCTTTTTCTTTTCTTTTTTTTTTTCTTTTGAGACAGAGTCTCACTTTATCACCCAGACTGGAGTGCAGTGTTGTGATCAGTGCTCACTGCAGCTTCGACCTCCCAGGTTTGAGCAATCCTTCCACCCCAGCCTCCTAAGTAGCTGGGACAACAGGTATGCACCACGATGCCCGGCCAATTTTTCTATTTTTCCTAGAGATGGGGTTTTGCCCTGTTTCCCAGGCTGGTCTTGAACTCCTGGGCTCAAGTGGACAATCACATCTTAATGTGACTTACCAACACAAAATACAATAAAAAATATTTGGATGTGAGTTATCCCTATGAAATGATAGTCCTCATTAATTTGCATATACATTCTTTGGACTACTCAGGTTATTAAAGAAAAGTGGAAAAGATGTTTATAATACTGCATTTGTTTCCTATATGAAATGAACCATATCATAGCAAACAGTCTTTGGGTTACGAAGAATATTGAATTTGTGCTTTGCCAAAGTAAAGAGCAATGCCAACAGTTTTAGTCTCACCTGAAAGGATTTATCAGAAAAAAAATATATATATATATACAGCACATTCATATTATTCATCATAGTTATGTCCTGTAAAGTCTCTGCAAACACTGAATTAGTGAATACTGAACCATTGCTCCTAGAGGAAACACAGGGTTAAGTTCCTGGCAGCCTCTGGTCGCAATTTTATCAACTGTTCAATACATAACTTTCTTCTATGTGTGTTTTTTTTGTTTAAAGACACCTTATTTAATATGTATTTTTGATACATTAGCTTTGAACTCACAGCCAAAATGCTATAGCTCATAAATGAGCAAAGCTTATCTAACACATGTATTTTCTCCATAAGTCATAGCACAGTCTACTTTTCCCTAAGAACACTAGAGAGTGCTTCAGGATTATGCATGGGGACCATTTTAAATACTAAAATTATCAACAAAAGGTAAAAAAAAAAAAAGAAGCATAAGACATGGCACTAAATAGACTGAAAAAAGTATACTTGTTTCCAGTATGAAAACTGAAATAGGAAGGCAGAGAATCGTCTTGTTCAACTAGGAATGTGAGCATTGAGTGACTCAAATTTTTCACTGTTGTGTACATAAACACAAATTACCACAAAAGTAACATGAATATTAATTCTGAGGGTATGAGTGCATTTTAGAATTTGCAAATATAAAATCTGTAATGAGGACCAACTGTATCTTTAAGTTTCAGAAAACTATTAAATTATCATAAAAAAACCTATTTTGTTAATACAGTAATTTTATCCATCCATTTACATTTATTTTGATTTTCTTATAAATGCCCAAATTAAAAATGAAAGAAGATAAATAATTTTTGACAAATGAAGATTATTGATTCTAGTAAGAATCAAAGTTCTCTTGGATGTAGGTCTGCACCCTGAATTGGTTCCAACTTCTTTGTCAGTAACCACATTGTTTTTCCATTTTCATGGTAGTTAGAAATTCTTCTGGGGAATATAAACGGATTCCTATTTTTACAGCCTGCACCAAATGTCTGAATAACCTCAGTGGACACACTATTGGAATGTGTGGGTTTTGGGGGATTCAGGAGGTTGAATCTTCCTATATCCTTAAAATGAGCAACCTTACTGCATTTACATGTTTTAGGAACTTTTTATGATTTCAAAGAGAAATGTCCAATATTTTGTCAAGTGCTAGAAGAAATTAACATAAAAGAATTTAAAATGATAAAATATGGATAACTACAATGTTAAAGTTATTATTTGATAATTGGGTTTAAAATCTCTTAATTTCCGGGTAAAGACTATACAAAATATGATTATGTATCCTACATCTACAAAATGACCTATATATTCAAATATTTTTGATCTGCAATTTGCTGGAAAGCTTATTTAATTTGAAGTGCCAAAGTTGTATACAATTGAAATCAGGTTAGTTTTAGGAACTTTGCTTTAATTCAGTTCTACTGAAAATTTTTATGGGCTGTATGGTGCATGGATCATCTCTAAATGTGGGTCCATGGCTCCTGCTTTACAGACCACCATAAAGAAAGCGTCATTTTGGGGAAAATAATACTTATATTTTTACCGATTTTTCTCAATAATATTTGTTCCCTAAAAGATGTTCCTAATTCAAATCCAAGGAACTGATCAGAATTTTTTTTTTATTCCTACCTTGTTTTTTCTTTTCTCTGAACTTAACACTGATATTTTCCAAAGGCAAACTATAGGAACTTCCACACAGCATTCTTTTCTCTCTCATCTACCAATCTCCATACCAAAAAACAAAATGACAAAAAAAGACATTAGACTCTAAATTCTAACTTACAAATATTGGCAGTTTTCAGTATTTTTTTTTCTCTGTATCTCAAGCCTAATGAGGGTGAACAGTAGTGAGTTCATGAGCTTCTCCAAGTGAGCCTAGAGGGCCCAGCTTATCCCTGATGAGCTGTTCTCTGAAGCTCTGGTGTTTACCAAATGTGTCAGATGGATAATGTTCATTAATGAACCTGAATATCTTGAAGCAGAGCGATTCCTCCAAATATTATGATGCTTTAATGACACTTGTAATAAGACCACCAAGGACTACCAGCAGCTAACAAATACACATTTCCAAATGTAACATTAGTAAATGTTTGAATGCAGCAAAACCTTAAAACTGGTATATGAAAGTCTGCTTATTCTGCCTCCTGAGGGCCTCATAAATGAATAAGCGATGAGTGAGCCGGTGCCACAAGCAGAACTGGGGCTTCGGGGAAATGGGCAGCAATGGCATTTACAGCAATTTGCATTGAATATGTGGAAAAGGGAGAAAAACCAAACAGACATATAAGTGTAGAAGGGAGCAGAGACACTAAAAAGGGTTATGAAATATAGCAAACTAAATGACTTCCTGTATATTCGCACAAGAATCACTGTGAGAATGTGACTGAAGTGCCATTGTCTGGTCCAGCTTTCTGTTGACCTCCTTATACCAAAGCGTTGTCCTGGGACTGCCTGTCTGCTTGTGACATTGCTTTCTTCTTCCTACCCTACTCCAGGGTTCTGCTAAGCAACGAGTCTTAAGTCAGTCTCTTTCCAGCTTCATGGAGAGAAAACAAGTGCATTCAACTTTTCAGTGCATCTCTGTGGACTTCTATAGGCAGCTTTCACATCCTTGAGCTTGTGTTTTCATACATGAGTTGAATATGGTGGTTGCTTTTACTATTAAGTAGCCAACAGGATATTATTTGGAATCTATGTCTGTTCTTATTTTTTTTCTCCACAGCAATTCTTACTGAAAAAATACTGAAAACTAATAAATCTAATTTCTACTTCCCCACAGAAAGGTTAGTGAAATGTTTTCTGAAGGGTAAGAAAGGGCATGACTATTAATAAAGTGTCAGGTGGAGTTCACAGTCTTACACTATTTTATATATCCTCTTTGAAATAAAACCTATATTTACCTATAATTCATTCATTCAATAAATATGTATCAAGTGCCTATTTGACATAGAGTGATATGTGGATGATTAGTAAATTATTTATAGGAAATATTTATTACATGATACAAAAGGCCATAAAAGAACATGGGACATTCAAAAATTTATCTTCTTTTGGAAAATCAAATTGCTATCCACCAAACTTAGTGCAGCTTTTACATATTTGTGTGCAAATATTTTGTAAAATGTGACAAACCTTATGTTTATTAGGAATGTAATGTCTTTCTTACCTCCTTCTCTGTCTCTTTCTTTCTTCTTTCTTTGTAATCTTTAATAATATTTCTTACTTGCAGATAACAGAAAATATTTATAAAAATGTTTCTCCTTTCTCCTTATGTCATGTAGATTTGAGTTCTAATTTTTGTTCCTACATACGTGTAGGTAGTTACTGATTGAAATACAATCATTGTATTTATACTGTGTATATATTCTGTGAGTATAAATTGTATACTCACAGAATATAGTACACCCAGATTCTTCAAACTTTTCGACTCATTATTCTACTCCCACCAAACTTTATACGTATCCAGGACAGCCCCTCTGAGCCTTCTTCGTGCTATCACTAAAAGCTATAATTATACATGTAAAGTTTACAGAAACAAAGATTAATTAGTCAAATACTTTATTATACTGCTTCAGACACTTATAGTCTTAAGGGTGACTAAAAATAAGTAACACAGCTGCTTTTATTATGCCTTTAGTAAATAAAAATAAGTTTATATTTTCCTGTCATCATTTTGTCATAACTAATTAGATTCAGTAAACACTATCTTAGCAAAGAATACTAACTAAGGTTATGATTTGGGAGTAGATTTAAAGACAGAAACATTGCTTATGGGTTTATATCTTGTTTTTCCTTGTTATCTTTCTCTTTTTTCTTTGGAGGTAGAGTCTCACTCTATCCCCCAGGCTGGAGTGCAGTGGCGTGATCTCGGCTCACTGCATCCTCTGTCTCCCGGGTTCAAGCGATTCTCCTTCCTCAGCCTCCCTAGTAGCTGGGGTTACAGACGTGATCCACAACGCCCGGCTAATTTTTGTATTTTTAGTAGAGACAGGGGTTTCGTCATGTTGGCCAGGCTTGTCTTGAACTCCCGACCTCAAGTGATCAGCCTGCCTCGTCCTCCCAATGTGCTGGGATTACAGGTGAGAGCCACCGTGCCTGGCCATCTTCTTCTCTTAAGGCAATGCCATGCCTATTAGTAAGTTTCATTTTGTGAGTTCTTAGAGAAATGAGTTAAGACATGGTCTATTACATCTAACTTAAAATGTTTATCCTGCACTTACTGTTTTATTCACTACCTTCGTCAACAGAAATATGAAATGAGTCCTAAATTTCATTGTCATGGATTTTAAATTTCATTTCCAAATTCTGTTTTCAGTAATATGGCAAAAAAAAAATTGACCCTAATAAGCCTTCATTCCTCACAGCTATCTCCATTAGAGTATATTCTTTTCAACCCAAATATCCAAATGTGGGGTTGACTTTTTTCTTGCTCCCCACTGCCATATTTGTGGTAGCAGTCTCTCCTGGTGGATTCATTCTTTTATCACCATTAGGATTCTTCCATGTTTACATTTATGCCTCTCAGCATTCTGCCATTTCAAGTTTGTGGTGTTATCTCTTTCAGTGATTTCTGTCTCCACCTAGTTACTGACTGACAAAACCACATCTCATAATGACTATCAATAAAGATGACACATCTCATAATGACTATCAATAAAAATGACTTTCCAATATTTCTTCTTAAAATTACTTTTCTGTGGATGTGATGGTTAATTTTATTTGTCAACTCATACGAACTAAAGAATACCCAGATTGCTGGGAAAACATTATTTCTGGGTTCACTGTGAGGGTGTTCCCAGGAGAAATTAGTATTTGAATCGGTAAACTGAGTAAAGTATATGGTCCTCCCTGATGTGGATAGGCATAATCCACAGCTATCCACCAGCTTGAATAGCACAAAAGGAAAGGAAAGTTGAATTCACTCACTCTGCTAGAGCTGAGATGTCTATCTTCTCCTGCCTGCCCGCAGATATCAGTGTTCTGGGTTCTCAGGCTTTTGGATTCAGACTGGGATACATAACATCGGCCTCCCAATTCTCAGTCTCCTTCAGACTCAAACTGAGTTACACCATCAGCTGTCCTGGTTTTCCCTCTTTCAGACAGCAAATAGTGGGACTTCATAGCCTCCATAACCACATTGAACCAATTTCTGTAATAAATATCTTCTATATATATTAATATATGGAGAAGTCTGACTAATACAGGTTTTGGTAACAAGAGTGGGATGCTGTTAAAATAAATATCTAAAAATGTAGAAGTGACTTTGAAACTGGAGAATGAGTGGAGGGTGGAAGAGTTTAGAGGCACATGCTAAAAAAAGACTACATTGCTATGAATGAATTATTAAGGATGATTCTGGTGAGGGGCTACTTCTCAGTCATATTAATTATTTACTTGTGATCAATAGGGACCAAGTCCCTCACTGACAACACAACATTGTCATTCTGCCATTCATACCCAGACAACACAGTATTGAATATTCCCCACTGTTTACTTCCTTTTTCTCCCTAATACTCACTTCCCAAGGTGTGTAATTAAATTTTGTATTCTACTTTATTTGTCCTATTATACTCTCAGATTTCAACTCCTGGTCTACTCTTCATGGAATTTCTCTTGTCTTCTCACTTTTAAAGAACTCTTAGTTTCCTATTTCAAGGAGTCCTATTTAGAGGGTTAATTAGAGGTGATCCAGCAGAGTTTTCTAATTTTACAATATTTTAACCATAAATGGAAGCACTAACTGTCTCTTCACTAGAATTAATTTTCTTTTTTTTTTCAGGTCACAACTAGGATCTATTTCCTGCCTTTTCTTACGGTTAGTTGTATCCTTGCTATTGAGTTCTAACCAATGGAATGTGAGTGAAACTGATATGTGCTATTTCTGTTTCAAAGCTTTTAAGAAGCAGGCATGCAATATGCTCCATCCCCTTCCCCTTTTGTAAAATAGATCCAAATGATGAGGTCTTAAGGGATGGTGGATCCATAAGATGAAAAATATCTTCATCTTGCATTCAGAGATCTTTGAATCTCTAAATGCAGTATATTGACCTGCTTTGATTTCTTATGTAAATGAGAAATCATCTTCTATTATGCTTGTGTCATACTTTTCTGCCTATTCTCTGACTATTGGCAAGACCCTAAACAATACCTCATTTATTAACAAGACAATGAAAGGGGGAAAAATGATGCCTCAGATTTTTTTGAGGTTTTAATTTTGTACTTTAGTCATCTGTGACTTGTAAAATTTTCTTGTACTGGATTTTAAGTTTCTAGAGAATAAGAACATCCATTTTATCCTAAATAAATGACGATATGTGTATAGTAGTCAAGTAGAAGGAAATAATATTATGTCTATAAAACTTGTACGTAAGTTCCTTAATATAAATGTTAAACACTAGCATATAAAAACACTTGTTTTAAACATTCAATAATAAAGTGTGATAAATTATTTTAGTATAATGAAGTATTAACAAAAAGCATAAGACCAAGAAGTGTACACATAGAAAGTGCTGTATTGTGTCATTTATTATTTGCCACCCATTCTAATTATCATAGCTCTTATAGTTACCTACCATTCTTAAAAATCCTCAGAGAAAATGAATGTATAATCTGCTTTTGTTGAGTTCTTAATTATCCATAGCATCTATTCACTTCGAAATTATGAAAAACTCCAGCAGGCTGTTTCACTTCACAGAAATCCTGCAGCAAGGCACCTGGCTTTCTGGTTTATAAATAACCTTGCTCTGTACTTTATTTTTTTGGTAAATGAATTCACTTGAGCTATATATCATTAAGGATTTTGTTTATGAGAGGTTCAGAAAGAAATAGCCAACATAAAGTAGCAGTGGCAGATAATGAAGCAAGTCATGAAGCATATGACAACACAGGTTTGAGAATCAGCTTATGGATGATCTGCTGTCTGTGAACCCTCTCATCTAATATTTGTAAGCGCACAGCTGGCAAAGCTTCCAGTATTTTTCAGAGCCTTTATTGATTTATGTAGGAATAACAAATAGACCCACAGATATTCTACTAAAATGGTGTTGTTATCATAAGGGAATAAAAAGTATCTCTTGTTTTGTCTGATTTGGGGCACAATCCCCTTAGTGTGTGAAGCATTAAGTGCCTCTAAAACAAGCCTCTTATTGACCACACCAGAAACAGGAGGAAGGCTCCTGGTAACAAAATCATTCTGGAAAATTTGAGATTTAACAGCCCATTAACCTGCTATTAAAGACCACTGATGGGAGTTTCTTAGAGAAATGAACTTGCATTGTGTGGGAAGTTAGCAATGACACCACAAAGGGAACTTGGCAATGGGAGGGGGAGGGAAAGGAAGATTCTTATCAAAACCCATGCTATTAAAGAAATGAAATTGGAGCTGCACAGAGCTGAAGACACAGATTATGGGTAATGGTGCAGAACCAGGTTACATCAGCATTGAGTTTCACGCAGTTCCCATTCTATTTTACCTGCATTGGCAGAAAGTTGAGCCAGTGTCAACTTCCACTTAGAATGCAGTTGATCACAGTGCTATGGAAAGCCAAATTGACAGTTAAGAGGAAGCAAGAGGTTTAGGGTCATGTCTCAGCTGGGTTTTAATTCATTCTCGTTAGGCACACTAATACAGCAGAGCATACAGGGGGTGGTGGATCTTTTTTTTCTTCTCCTTCTTCTTCATTTTTCTTTCTTTCTTTGTTTTGTAGACCATGAATCATGAATATTAATGCAATTCCATTAAGGTTGCCACGGAGTGTCCAGGATGCTGGTGGAGGGGGCGGTAGGCTGCCACTTTATCATGTTATTGGATTTGTTTAAAGAAAGGTTCCTGACACGATTTTCCAAATGCAGCCTGGTGAGCAGTCCCTGCCATCAGGTGATGTATCTGACTTAATGGTATTCTTTCAGAGCTGGAGCAATAAACATTAAGGGACCTTAATTGTATTCTTTGCAGTGGGAGCAATAAACATTAGGGGCCCTATTGTACCCTGTTCCAAAATGTCCCCCAAGCCCAATTTGGGAAGTGTCTTGAGATATAGCTCTAATTTCAAATCCTCTCTCCCATTCCATGTATTTTGAAATTGGGAGACTGAACAAAAACAATGAAACGAAATTAATAGGCATACTGCCACATAGCAGCCCCTCATATTATTTACCTGACGCATCAGGGCCCTAATAGTGGGGGGGAAAAAAGATGCTGAGTGATCTGACTTATTTTTCTATGGTGACAACTTTTGATAAACTGCAGCTACTAGCCACAGAGTCACAGGGGTAAAATTGTTCACCTGGTACATAGAGAAGATCCATGGCACAAAGGATTAAGTTGCCTTGAAGACTGAGAAGACTGTGGGATTTTAAGTTGAATCAAACATGAGGTGATAATTCATGATCATCTCTGACTCTATTTCATCTACATATTTCTGTTTTTGCTTTTTTTTTTTTGGTGAAACTGTATGCTAAAATAACAAATTTCCCATGAAATTACAGGAGTCCCATTTTACCATTTGTAACATCAGATGTTCAACATGCTATCAAGGAAGAAAGACAGTTTTAAAATTATTTTCTTAAGATCTCCACTGGTCACATTCATTTCAGCGAGTCGTTAGACTGTATTGATTTTGCCTGAATTAATGGTACACTTGTTTTACTCATTTTGTTATTCTAATTTTGCTCTCCTCTCTTTTTCACAATTCTGTGAGTCTCAGGTATTGGCCTGTGAACTGGTGTTATGATAGTATATCATTTAAAATGATAACCCCATCATTTCTTCCATAGCATATTTTGTCATAATTCCCAATACATGAGATATTTAGCTAAGGTAAAGTGCACATGGAAAATTTAGAGAGGAATTGTCATCAGGGTGAAATGCTGTGTACTACGCAGAAGGCTTCTGGTTTGGGGTTCTGAACAATCAAAATTAAATAGACATAAATGCAATTAATGATATTACGTGAAAAGTTTGATACTATGTCCGTTTAACTTCTAGCCTTTATTCTAGCTTGGGAAGTTTTGTTTCCTTTTATTTTAACATAATTTTAACTTCCTACCACAATAGGGAATGAGCCTGTGAGTAGATTTAGCAAAGAAAGTAGAAATAAATTCCTGTTGATTATTTTATTTAACACTGTGGTTTCTCTCACAAAGACATTTAATTTCAAAGTGTTTTGACTTGGCCACAGCCATAATTGTGCATAATATCCATTATCTTTTAATTGGAATTATCTTTTATCTTTGGCTACATTTATCTGAGGATCCCTTCAGAAAGCCCACCAGAAGCTCAAATTCCAATTTGTTCTCTCAGCTTGACTAATGATGAAAAGTATCAAAAATGACTATTATGTGTTTATAAATCACCTCTTTTATTCTGATGCAGTTCTGGGATTTTATGCTGTTAAGTACCATTTCTCTGTGGAATGTAAATGCAAAAGCAACAACAACAAATTCAGCATAAACAATGGCGCAAAATGAGAAAGAACAAAAAGTCTTTAAAGGAAGCATCACAAAAGCAAAGTTTGAACAGAGAACAGCAGAAAATATCGATGAGAAAATATATTTCCCACAGATTAAAAAAAAGTATGAGTCAGAAATAGTCCCCATTTGCTTAGCATCTAACAGTTCTATTTGGAAAAGCATAGAATCTGTGGCACAAAAGCAAATATATCTTAATTGGGCTCACTTGCATCCACCTGCTACAGTTCCTTTTTAGTCACACTGAATTTGTCTAACAACACTTGTTTACATTCCCTTGCTAGCACATTAGCATTTATTTCATTTCATAAAATAAGAAATATGGCCAGTTTAAAATGTTGAAGATACAGTGGCCAAGAAACTTAAGGTCAGCTTGTGGAACACAGCAATCAACTTGGACTTCTCATTGTGAAATATTACTCTTAGATCATCACATGCTACCAAACGTCCTCGATTAATTGAAACATTCATCCAACAATTATTTATTGAACAGCTGCTGTGTGCCAGACAATCTGCTAGGAACTCAGATGAAAAGTGCACCAGGCATTGTGGCAGCTCCCTTTACCGCAGCTTTTGTCTGTTTCAGTTCCTCAACACTACCTCCCACCGCCCCATCCAGGTCTGCGCAAAACAGTTGCAAGTCCTCTTGACTGAGCTCTGAATCTACACAAGCAAAGATGATATGCCACCCCCACATGCCATCAATATTACGTCCCCCACAGCCTCTAAGGCATGAACTTAGTGGCTCATTGATGTTCGTGGAGCTTCTGCATTGTTTCCTCTATCCCTTTTATTATCAAATGGACCCAATATCTACTGCTGCCAGTAAAGTATACAGGCACTTGCGAAACTGCTGTGACTTTTAGGGCAGTAACTGGGCTGAGCCTCTGGATCTCATAGAGAGCACTTCGATGGGACTATGAGGCTTGACATAGTTTTGCCTTATTGTGAGAATAGACATAACTTCCTCTGTTGCCAAGAGATGGACTCAGGTCCAGGATTGCTGTCTTTCTTTCAGTCTCTTCACTTCCTGACAGCCAGACACCTTCTGATGTATTCAGACATGATCAAAGAAGGCCCCATTACCCCTTCCAGCCACATTTTTGAATACTGTGTCTATCATCCCCAGCACAGTATGGTACTACAAAGTCCATTTCCTAATCATAGCCCAGGTAAATGATATCTCCTCACTCATCTTGTGTATTGATCTTTATCCCTCATTCTTCAAAATGTGAGTGAACATCCCAGCATAACTGAACTTTCTCATAATATACCTATGATTTTCTGCTCATCCGTCCTATCACATTTCAAAGGAAGACATTTAACAACTTGCGTTGTCCCCAAATCAGAATTCATCCTTCTGTATTACCAAATTGACTGAGTATCTAAGCCTCACTTCCAACCCAGAGGTTTTACCTGTTTATCTAATCCCAGTGACCCCTGTATAGACTGCAAGACTGCCCGGAGCTCTGGTTGGATAATTGAGGACTTGCTTCTTGTGATCTGAGGTCTCAGATGGTAAGCATCTGCCTGCTTCCCCATGCAACTAAGTGTCACCTGCATATGAGAATATCTTAATATCTTCCTATATCTTGATACCTCATTATCTCACCTTGGCAGCCATGGTGCTTTACATGATCTCAAGTTTGGCAGACTAATGTCCTCTCTTGACACCGTGATTTTCTGCTCAGCTCTATCTCCCCATACTGATTCACTAACTGATCAGTCCACTTAGTCTTTTTTTGACCTAACATATAGGTCTTGTTTTCTTCCCAACTACTTCCTTTTTTCTACATGGTCTGCAGCAGATTACTTCACTATGTTTAAGTCCTAAGACATAAATTTTTGAGCAGCAAAATGTTTTTTGCCTCCTTCACTTAGTTAGATCAGTTAAGGTACTTTTATAGCCAGACAACAAACCTTGACTCAGATGTCTTAAATAAGAAAAAATTATTATTTCACATTAATGATTCTGGAGGTAGGGTAATTCCAAGTTTGGTTATTTCAACAGTTCAGGGATGTCAAGAAACTACATCCTTTCCATCTTCCTGTTCTGCTCTCTAAGCATGTGGACTTGCCCTCAGGGGTGTGTTCCTTATGGTTAGGAGTTGTCTGTCTCAGTTTCAGGTACCAAAATGACATCCAAGACAGAAAAATAAGAATGTTACTTTCACTGCATATATTTCCTCCATGAGGAAAACCTTTCCCAGCAGTCCCTCAGAAGATATCTGTTACAGAATCATTGATTATATTTTCTCCTTATGCCCTTGCCAAAATCAATTATTGGTAAAGGGAATGGGATTATAGTAATTGGCTTTAATTAATCATAATCCAGTCAGTAGGTCTAGGTAGGGAACTAGCTCTCCATAAAGCACATGGAGGTCCAATGCAGAACTAAACTTCTCTTATCAAGAAACAAGGAAAGTCATGCCTGTTGGTTAGTCAGCCAAGCACACCTGCCACATTAATTATCCACATACATGCTGTGGAGCAGAAACGAAAGGTCTGCCTGCCCACTTTTCAATGGCACGGGACTCTCAGTCCCTCCGGGGTTTGTTCACACAGTTGTTGGTTACACCCCATGCCACATGAAGAGTCCTTCCTTTTCAACCCTCTCTCAAAGCCTGAGGAGTAAGGCACATGCTGTAATTCTTGATAGAAGCAGCGAGGGTTACCTGTTTTCTTATCATTTTATTGTTAAATGCAGCAAAAGAAATTTTCCATTTATTTTATTTTATTTTATTTTAAGACAAACTCTTACTGTGTTTCCCAGGCTGGAGAGCAGTGGTGTGATCTCAGCTTACTGCAACCTTTTCCTCCCAGGTTCAAGTGATTCTCCTGCGTGCCCAGGCCTCCAGAGTAGCTGGGATTACAGGGGCTGAGTCACCACGCCAGGCTAATTTTTGTATTTTTAGCAGAGACATGGTTTCACCATGTTGGCTAGGCTGGTCTTGAACTCTTGACCTCAATTGATCTGCCCACTTTGGCCTCCCAAAGCTTCTGTTTCTTAAAGTATTTTATTTCCATAACAGTAATAAAGGAAGGTGGTTACTTAAAATTTGGCTGGAGAGATATGTTACTTGAGCAGGTCAATGAATAGGCTGGAAAGAGGAGTAGAGAAGGAGAAGGGTGAGACAAAAATTAATAAATAACTCAATATTTCAATTTGATATAAGGTTCTTAATACCACGCCTGAGACATAGTACATGCTCAATAAATGCTTGGAGCAGAAAGGAAGAAAGGGGGAGTGTTTCACCAGAATTCCACAATAAGTTTTCAAATATAATCAATTTCATTAGGTAATCCAGATTTGATTGGGTTGTAAGGATTAAAGTGATCCAAAAGTACAACTAGTCTTATAAATAAAGTTTGTTGATTTCCAATAGGGGCACACTCCTTCTGAGTGATGTAGACAACTGTCTTAAATTCATAGCCATTGTTTTTCCTTTGGAAAAGAACCTAGAAATAGGGGTATTTTGAAGTAAGTATGAAATCAAATCATTCTAGAAGATTATTTGCTTCTTTACACTATAGGAAATATTGATTAACCGTCCTATCAACATCTCAGAAGAAGGCAAAAGTAAGTGGATATATCTCAGCACGGAGAACAATGCCAACAGCAGAGTAAGGAGGAAAGTTAGAGACAGTGGAACTGGGATACTTAACAACATGGCTGTAGATTCAAGGCCAACACCTCACAGAATGTTATGCAGTTCCTTCATTATTTTTGCTTTGAAATAAGAATGGCATTATTTGTTTATTTAGCAATGTTTTTGAAATTAACATTCACTTACCTGTATATGTATACTTATATGTGTGTGTGTATATCTATGTATATATAATACTTGTTTCTAAACATGTTTTATAAACATCTTCAAACAAAAGCAAAGCTGACAAAATGTTATGACAAATACCTGTACATTCTCCATCTAGGTTCATCAGTAGTTAACATTTTGGAAAATATAAATGCATACTCATACACACACACACACACACACACACACATGCACACATACTCTACATAAGTATGTTAAGACTTATAATACTCCTTGTCTTAGTCTGTTTCTGTTGCTACAGCAAAATGCTTTCGACTGGGTAATGTATAAATAACACTAACTTACTTCTCACAATTTTGGAGGCTGGAAGTCCAAAATCCAAGTGCCACCAAGCTCAGTGTCTGGGGAGGGCCTGGTCTCTGCTTGCAAGGTGAGGACTTCGTGTGTTCTCCGGAGAAGATGAACGCTTTCATCTCGCCCAGCAGAAGAGCTAGAAGAACAAATAGGGCATAGCTACTTCCCTCAAGCCCTTTTTTATAAGGGTACTAATTCATTCATGAGGAGTAAAACCCTCCTGATTTAATCATTCTAAAGGCCCCATCTTTTAATACTGTAACTTGAGTCTCAAAATATGAATTTTGAGGGACACATACATTCTAGCCATGGCACTTTCGAATACTCCAGCATGCATCTCCAAAAAATACATTTTTCTAGAAAACCAAAATGCCATTATCAAATTTAGAAAAACTAACAGTGACTCCTTAATGTCCTCTATTATCCAAACCCATTTAGCCTACATATGTCACCCTAAACTTGGATAAGTTCACACACTGCATTAGATTGTCTTGTTCCTTAAATGTCTTTAAATTTCTCCTGCACAACCATCTTTTTATTTTTCTCATAATATTGTCCTTTGGACAGCCTAAAACTTTTTGTTTTGTGTAATGTACTATGTTTGGGTTTTATCTGATTACTTTCTCATCGTGCTGTTTAATTTGTTTCTTTATCCCCTATATATCTTGTTAACCAGAAGTTAAGTCTGAGTGCTTAATTAGATTCAAATTAAACATCATTGTGTATACATTATATTGCATTGCTTTATGAGCTGCATAATTTCAAGTTGTCCCACTATTAGTTATGCTAACTTTGAACTTTTGGCTAAGGTCTGATTTTCAAATTTTCCTATTGCAAAAAAAATTTTAAAAATTATTTTATACAGAATATATATTGAATAATTTTGAACAGTTATTTTTTGTTAGGCTTACTTTTTCAAAAAATTAACCCCTTTCAATTTATAATTCATTATCATGAAGATTTTTTATATTTATAGCAAGAGTACATGGTGTTCACCATGAATATGGCTATTTTTAAAATGGTTTTAAATGTGGCTTGTATTTTTATTCTCTAAAATATTTAGTGTGGTAATTTTATCTTTTGAAATAGGTCTCTTGCATTACGGAGATTGATTTTCTTGTTTGGGAGAAGACATTAGTAGTTTTAGCAGTTTCTCATTGACTCGTGGCTATTATTCTGCTAAAAAAGTGAACTGGCGAAGTGAGTGGTTGGTGTACTACCCGGTTCTTTCAGCAGGATCCTCATTTCAGCAGGAGGGCTGCATTGAGCAGTTACCACACCAATTGCTCAACCTGCCAAAATATAAATTATAAGGGGAAAAAGTAGAAAAGTGAGTCAGAATTTTAGTTGTGAAAATATATGTAATTTGAATTCTGAGGGAAAATAATTTGAATCAAGAGAAAAATATAAATCTAAATTTCTGTATAAGGAGGTTAAAACCAAGACAATTGTGGGGTTCTTCCTGTGAGATTTCTCCATAATATGAACAATGTATACACTTCCATAGGAAAATGCTAACCAAATAAATAAATGCTCAAACATTTTTACTTATATAGATATTCACAATTTAGTTTAAATAATAGGATTGTACCTTTTATTATTATTATCTTACCATTTGGCAGTGTTTAGTTTTCTTCTTTGGAAAATGTATTACAAGTAATATAATTACAAAGTTTATTCAAAAACGCAAAATTATGATGCTGATATCAAATATTCTTGATGTGCCTGGTAGACTTGATTTGAGGATGAAAATATCTTACTCAAAGATACCTGCTTCTTTTAACTTCCTGGCCTCATGATTCAGCCTTTATACTAAGTTTTTATCAGCTGTGTTTGTCATCTCTAAGGGTGAACACTGTGTAAAATATAAAGTAAGAAAGTATGGGTGGGAATTCCTCTTCACACCTTTGTCTCTACATAGCTTTTTAACTTTTACTATTTTAAAGTGGTTGTTAAATTTGCTGAAGTCAAATTCTTCCTCTAGAAGTGGTTTATGTTTTGAGAAACAGTTCTAAAAGATCATATCAAGCTATATTATGCTAAGAACACAGATATGCTTCCAAGAGAAAACCACAAATTACTGGTCATTCATATTCAGAAGATAGTGTTAAACATATTTACTATAGAGAAAGTATGTAAATAAAAGTAAGTTTATTTACATAAACTTACATAACTTTATTTTATTTATTTAAATAAACTTACATAAAAGTAAGTTTATTTGCATAAACATTATTATGAAGTTCTTAATGTAATTTATATTGTCAGATATGTGCAAAACATTATCACAAATGGATTTCAACTTCAGCAGCATAGTAGCTTAACACATCTATATGTATAAATCATGTACACCTATATGTATAAATATATAAATAACATGTATTTATACATCAATATGTATGAAACACAACTATATTTATAAATCACATCTATAAGTACTGTTAGAAACAATCCCACTCATTTTGGTCTTAAGTTTTTAACAAATCCAATACCCTCCATCTGTGTACAATAATGAGGAAGACTGGCAGAGGCCTGGATTATATTGCTATATTTGGTCCAACGTCATGATTAGATTAATGGTGTAAATTTCTTTATTGTTATAGTTCTAGTAACAGACTTCCCTCTACTTCCGATGCCAGTACTGACTGACTTACTGTATAAGTAAAGCAGTACACTTTATTATTTTCTTTGTAATGGGATTTGCAATAATACCAATTTGTATCACCTGAGTATTGTTGAGATTCATAAAATAACTATTGAAAAACGTTTTAATATACTTCATTGAAAAGAATGATAATAATTAGAATAACTGCTATGTGAATTCACATGTAATCTTTTTATATATTTTAGAAAATAAAATACGTTTATAAAAATTTTTAAATAATGTTACAAATGTTAAAAAAGATTATTTTACAAACACTAAAGTTATAAGCAATTGCAGCATTATTTTTTGGGGAGGTCACAATAATAAAGGGTAAAAAAACATGATGTGAAGCTTTAAAATTGAGATATTTCTATGTCTTAGTCTGCAAGACAGGATAGTTAGAAAAGTAGATGATGTCCTGGCAATCAAGTAAAAGCATTGTGGCATGTTTTAAGCTATAACACCATCCACCAACTTGTGCTAATTAGGGAGACTGATGGCAAATAGGCAAACTGATGTAATTATATGTTATGTGACAAGTCCAGAGAAATAGATTGGATTCAGGCAGTGTTCTGTGTGAAACCTTACTTCTTAGATCTGCTAGTATGAGTTTCAGAATTTTGACTGCAAATGCAATTTTGGTCCTCTTGGTTCACATTCATACACTTAATAGTCCCTGAAGCTTTCCTCCTTCCCTCTCTTCATACCTCCTTCCTTCCTTCCTCTCTGCCTTCCTTCCTTCCTTCCTTCCTTCCTTCCCTCCCTCCCTCCCTTCCTTCCCTCCCTCCCTCCCTCCTTCCCTCCCTCTCTTCCTTCCTTTCTTGCTTTCTTCCTTCCATCCATCATTCCTTTGCTTTCTAACTTCTTCCCTTCGCCCTCCTTGCTTTCTACTTATGACTTTATGAATGCAAAAGTATTTGTAGAAGAACTAAACATTTATTACAGGATAAATAATATGCAGCTAACTAAAATGAACCCAAACATATAATGACACATTTAAAATAATATGCAGGCCTAATGGCAAGTTATATTTAATAGAACCAACCATTATATAACATGTAAATATTATCTATATAAGATCCATCAATATCTTGGGATGAGTATTTCAGCCTATTTTAATATATATTTTTCTTTGTAAAAAAGAAAAAAATAAGTGTTTGAAATTAAAAAGCCGTCTATTAGTGTAACTGAGGACATAAATGTTGATCTACAATGAAGAAAGCCTTTTATCAATAGTTAAAAAAATATATTCAGTCTTGGAAAATTGCAGAGATTCATTTGGGAGTGGAAAGGTCAGAAGCCTATTTCTGTACACCTTGCCTAACATGGTCCCTAACAATATTTTTATGTAGGCAAATTAAGAATCAAACTGTATGTGAATATTTCAGGTTACATAGATTAGGTACCACTAAATTATATAAATCATAATTCTACTTAACATGAAAAAAATGTTTCTCTATCATTTTTCCTCTGCTCATTCTGCCACACCCATCTCGCTAATTAAGTTCCTTAACCTTGAAGATAATGATATTGCAGATTTTTTTAGGAAGAAATAAATTTGAGGATAAATTTACATCATATTAAATGAAAACTGTACTTCTGAGAATAACCTTGAAAAGGACCATAATATTTGCTACTGCAGATGAATAAGGTTATTTGAAGAAAGAGATGAGTGTAGTGGCAGGAAATAAAGTAAAAATATGATATTTGTCACTGTCCTTGGATTTTTGTCTAAGCCCCTAATTACAGATATAAAACCTGATAAAGATCATGTTTTAATGTTTTAAGGTTTTCCTGTGAGAAACAATATACAACTTTATTCTTACATACTAGAATATATCTATAATTTTGTAGAATACTGCCCTTATCTGAAGATTAAATAAGCTTTTTTGAAAACAAAACAAAGCAAACCTTATAACTTATAGAAAAGTGTGCTTTATTTCTCACATAGATAAATATTCCAACTCAAATATAGCAGTCTGCATTAAGGAGAAATTTTAAAATCTACACAAATTGTAGGACTCTGGGTTATTATTATATTAAATCAACAAAAATCATGCTGTATTTGGCTATTCTTATTACTAGATGTTCATTACTAGACATGCATGTTTTAACTTAAAATGACTTGATGTTGAGGTATAATGAGTGAATGAAATGTCACAAATACAAAATAAGTATTTCAGTATAAAAAGTTATACATTTGAAATGCATCTGTTCCCTTTAACATCTATCATTGTTTCTCCAATGTTTAATAAAATAATAATCTTTAGGTCTCTGTCTCACATTTACACAGGACTTTACAATGATCTTTATCTTCTCAGTAGTAACAGATCAACTATCAGCCCCTAATATTTACACCCCTCTGGAGACCCACCAGCAATGACAGAAGGCAGACTAATGCTATGCAGCCAGGAGCACAACATAAGCAAACAAAATAATTAGATCTGTGAAATATAAAGTTGATCCTAGGAAACGATTTTAAAAATGCCCCTTCTAGCTTGGAGAAAGGGCAACTGTGTCACTGCCTGTTATCTTCCCAGCCTGCCCACATTTCCATCTTCCACCTTTCACCAAAATCCACATTCTGGTGTTTTTGGAGATCCTGAGACTTACCAAGGCTTGATGATTTCTGCAATTAAGGATTTCTTCAAATCAGTTGCAGTCTTATCTGATTACGTGTCTTGGAGGATTATGAAGGCTTAATAATTTGGACTGGATTAACCGAGAACACTCAGCAGACACCACGGAACTTTTTCATGCCTCTTCAGATGGCAGCTTACCAGAAGTATGATGAGTGATTTCATGGCAGCTAATCAATAAAAATTCTCCCCCAAAACGTTGAGCACTTGTTTTCAAAATGGCTTTGAAGACAGTTTTAAAAATCATAGAGTACATGGACAATTCTTTAGAAACAAAAAAACCAGAAGTGTAAATATCCTATGTCTAAATAGTGACAATTTATAAATCAGAGTATTTTATCTTTCTACTTTGACAAATATATCTTCATAATGACAATATCAGAAAAATTTGATTTAGCTGTAGTATTTACATAACATTGTCAGCAAATTTTCTTGTCTTATCTCAGCAAAATAATAATCTTGATATAATAAAGGCTTTAGTAAATTAGTGTTCTATTGGTACTAATGGTCTAAGAAATTAACAAGAAAATATAATTTTATTCCAAATGCATAAATTTTGAATATATTTATCAATAATGTAAATTAAAGTAAATGTAATAAATCAAAAACTATTTTCAATAAGTTTTCTCTTAAATATTCAGAATTTATCTATGCAAAATATAAATTATAATTATTGAATACCAAATTTTTGGTGGCTCATGCCTGTAATCCCAACACTTGGGGAGGTCGAGGCGGGCAGATCACGAGGTCAGGAGTTTGAGACCAGCCTGGCCAACATGGTGAAACCCTTTCTCTACTAAAAATACAAAAAAACGTGGTGGTGGCGGGTGCTTGTAATCCCAGCTCCTAGAGAGGCTGAGGCAGGAGAATGGCTTGAACCCAGGAGGCAGAGGTTGCAGTGAGCCAAGATTGCGCCACTGCACTCCAGCTTGGGCGACAGAGCGAGACTCTGTCTCAAAAAAAAAAAAAAGAAAAGAAAAACTTTAATTTTTATTAAATTAATTAAATTGATATAATATGTTCATAAAACATAAAACTATTCACAGTTGTAGCACATTCCATTAGTTGACATTGTAAGAAAGTGGTCTCACAATGCATGCTTGTTAAATCGACACCAACATACATACAAATTCAAGACTCATAAGAATTTTTTAACATTGCAAAATGTTTCTCAGCTGCCATGTGCATGATGTGCTAATTGTTTAGTGTTCTGGAACCATGAATTGGAATGTGAACAGAAGCAAGAAAATGGACACTCAGCACCACTGGGAAACAATACCTTGTCATGATAAAATCTCTTGCATTCCTGCTATCTGAGAGAAGGATTTGACAAGTTAATTTGAATTTCCTTAGGTAAGCACATCTGCGGCTCCAATTCTCCCTGCCATTTGAAATACTGTCCATCTCTAAATTGGGCAGCAATAGAAGCCACGAGCCTTCACGACATTCCGACATCGTCACCTTTTGTTTGAAAGAAGGCAAAAGAAGTACGACAGTGTATCCTTGGATTCTGAAAGCCCTTAGTCATGAGTCACAGGTTATGCTGTTGCCAGTGCCGACTGTTTGATCCTGAGTAGTAGGGGCATCTGTAGTCTTTAATACATTTATTTCCTATAGATATGTGACACTTGAGACCCTATAAAACAGGATTTGACAAGGGCTTCCCTTGCCACTGTCTATAGTGGTCCTGCTTCAGTACAAATCTCCGTGATAATTTAAATGGCTTCCTAAGGCACGTACAGAAGAACAGTGTCATGTATATGAATATGGATCTATATGAAGCTATATGTATATACATGAACACGTATATCTGTACGTATGAAATGTATTTATACCTACTATGAAATGGGTTTTTCATTGTTTTAGGAGTAAGAGAAAATACTACTTGGAGAATCAGAAAGTGTTGAACATCTTTCCTAGGAATTAAGAGTAAGAATAAGGAAGGGGAAAGGGAATAAGAGAAGAATATGCTTCTGGTTGAGTTTTTGTTTTAGCACAAAGATACAATAATAGAGAATTTGAGTCATGAGTTTAGAGACAATATAATCCATGACACTAGAGTTATATCCATTTACCTTCTTGAGATTTGTACAGGTATAACTATCTAATTATACAATTGCTACACAAGAAGTCACTGTGATTGGAAAGATGGGAAAGACGATCAGAAGCATTTCTCTTTGAAATCTATATAATAGAAAAACAGAGGTCTCAGTCTCTAATGCTTATGGTACTTATCACACTTATACCAACTGTGTATGTGTGTGTATAGGAAATACTTGAAGAGAAAGGCTCAAAAATGTTTCAGCTCCCGACTCAGCAGGACCATGATGGTCATTTATTACTATTGCCGGTCCTGGTCACAGCAGACAGAGGGTGGCATTCTTGTGGGGGTTTTGCTGGACCGTTGTATTTTAGCAGAAAAATTAGATGCACAGGTCCTGCTGTGGAAGAAACCAAATGGCAGCAGGCTGTATAAGGGAATGTACAGATGGGGGTCATGAAAAATTGGAGAGTGTTTCTCAGAACCTGCTGCTGCAGCTTTGGTTGGGAAAAGGATGTGAAAGAAATTATGAGATGGAAGTTGAAGGTAGATGGCAGGGTAGCTGGTATAAATGAGTGAATGAATTTAAAGTAGAATGAACCTTTTAAAAAATTATCCAATCCAAGCTGCATTTTTTACCTCTAGGTTTATTAAATCTGAAAGCATCCCAAGATCTTTGGGGGATGGCATTTTTGCCAATATTTGCATGTTCATGAAACATCGCAAGTAAAAACCAATAGTTTAATATTATATTGGGGAGGCTAAGCATTCAAATAGGTGAACAGGGATTAGCTACCTTCTGATTATAAAGAGGGCTCTTACAGCTTAATCCCCAAGAGCTATTTGCTCCAGTGTTTTTAATGGCCCTTAATAGCTCAAGCCTGAATAGAACACATATGCATGTATTTATATTTGTATTGATACATATTTCATGTATCAATTTCTATTCCCTAGCTGGAATTTGTACTGTGAATTACTATAATACTCTTTTGTCTAAAATGTAATTATCTAAGTATGTGTTCTGGGAGATGGCATAGCTAGACTCATAGAGCACCAATTCACAAGCATTTAATTTTTGTTTTTAATAGGATACTATGAGAAAAAGGATCTCTCTCCCTCTGGAAGAGGGACGCAGTACTCACGCGTAAGTGGTACTTTCAGAATTGGAATATTATTGCCAGCTCCTTTGGGTACCTCATTAAGTATTTCTAGTACTACAGGGTAGTTTTGCCCTCCAATATGACCCTTAAATATATCCTATTAGTAAATCACAGGCTAAGAAGTCATGCAATTTGAACCTAAAGTGACTATGCAACGTTAAATAATGCCATCAAGACGCAGTCTTAATTTTTGCAAAGATGTTGAAAACCTCTGTGAAGTATCCTCTTTTTTTTTTTTTTTTTTGATGGAGTCTGGCTCTGTCGCCCAGGCTGGAGTGTAGTGGCGCTATCTCAGCTCACTGCAAACTCTGCCTCCTGGGTTCACGCCATTCTCCTGCCTCAACCTCCCGAGTAGCTGGGACTACAGGAGCCCGCCACCACGCCTAGCTACTTTTTTTGTATTTTTAGTAGAGGCGAAGTTTCACCGTGTTAGCCAGGATGGTCTCGATCTCCTGACCTCGTGATCCACCTGCCTCGGCCTCCCAAAGTGCTGGGATTACAGGTGTGAGCCACTACGCCTGGCCAGAAGTATCCTCTCTTTAAGATTCACTGAATTAGTAATATTATGAGCCAACCATGAGTCATTCAAATAATTCGATTGAATCAAAGGAACATGTGGAAGCTTATAGTGATTGACCAACAATCATAAAAAGAACAAAAACGGGTTAGATGGAAGCAAGTCAGCTCCCCACCCACATGCACAGGCTGTGGAAGTTTTGAACTACATAGTCATCAGTACTTAAAGAGCTAAATGTTATACACTTCCTCTGATAATGGAGGTTCAGTTAAAACTATGTTTTGGCACACTGGTAGATGAATTTAAAAAGTTGGTATATCCAGTACTAAATGTCACATTTTACTGGTTGGCACGCATTTATCACTTCATTTTCCAGTACAGTAAACAACTTGTAACGCACCAGTTAATTTGATTGACAGCAGCCTTGGGCATTTCTTAGCACTCACGTACTGTATTGCATGGAGTCAAACTTCCATGGTAATTGGCTTCAACAACAACAATAATAATAGAAATAATAATTCCAGAGTTAATTTAAAGGAGCAAAAAGAAGTAAGTCAAATATAAGAACAATAAATTATGGGAATTTCTCATTTGAGTAAGTAACAGGTTTAATAGCTTTTCCTAAGTACTGAGATCATTCAATTGAACATCTGCTTTCCAGCTGTGCATATTGATATATTACTAGGTTTTTATTCCCTTCTAGTCTAAATGTATCCATAAGTTTTTAGGAGTTTCACTACCTGACTTTTTGACAATGCCTTGATTGTGAAAGATATAAAAATGTCAAAAATTCTGTAGGCCATATTATGCCCAGGATATTATTTTTCAATAGGCTCCAAAGACAGATGTCTATGAACAATTAAACCATGCTTCAACCACACCTTGTTCCAGCTGGGATCAGAGAATTAAAAGGAAATAAGCCCTCATAATTTACTTATTGCTGAAGTTCCTATAGTTTCCTGACTGTTAATGGATTCTTATTAAATAATTCTATCAATGAAAAACATTTCATTATATTGTATGTATACTATACATTGTTTGAAATTATGAATTTGGCTCTTTGATATTAAATTGAGTATTTCTTCTCTTATATATGCTGAACAACTATATTCAGAAAAATCCCGTTTGATGGAGATTGGGTTACTTCAAGCTGGTGAAATCCCAAGTCAAGTTTTAGAGAGTTTAGTCATAAAGTACGATACTGAAACAATCTGTACTGATAAGAAAAGTGAGACCTGCTAATCAACATGGATGTAACCCAATATCTTGTCTAATAGGAAAGCGTAGAATGTACTCTCTCCTTTCAACTGAAAATGTCCCAAATAAGATGTTATCTTCTTCCAATCAGCTTTCATCATTACTGTCACCATAGCAACTAAATAGCTCTGAGATGCAACCTAAACAAGGGACCAAATAAGATGAGCTGATGAGCCACTGCATTATCAGTGTTCATAAGATAGTAATTCAAAAATGCTCATCATACCCACAAAGGAAAAGCATTTCTTCTCTCTTTTCCTAACGAAAGTATGGTTAATAAAAGTATTTCACCATATTCTAGGCTTTATGGATTAAATAGCTTAAGAAGTGGGAAGATGTAATCTGAAGGGACCATGTACTCAGCACAGTCCCAGGACTCACTTCACAGTGGCAATCTGCTGGCTTGCAAAGTAATATACAACTGAAGATGAGACTTATTGATTGATTGGTTTAATTTTATTAAATGACACTAAAGAAATGTGGGTTGCTTTTCTGTTGTTAACAACGTATGTAATTAGGAGAATACCATATATGAGAGTGTAAAGTAGGACAGATTTGGAGTACTCAGGAAAATGAGTTCTATAAATAATAAACCCTTGAGCCACTGAAGCTTTTCACATTCTTTAAAGAACACCATATTCTGTAAGATGTTTTCAAAATTTTCTAATTTATTCTTATTTAGAGAGCAATACTGTTCTGGGTATCTATATACTTTAGGTGTATATCTAAGGAGAAAGATCAGTAATAAGAACAAAATTAATAGTTAATAGGCCTTTCACACCTTATAATGTGCGACTTTACATGTACTATGACATTTAATTCATACTATAGTTATCTCCAATTTAGAGATGAGTAGGTCAATTCATGGAGACGATAAGTAACTTTCCCAGTTTAGAAAGGGGCAGAGCTAGGATTTGAACATGGGCACTCTTAACTCTGAAGCCTGCTCTCAACCAATAAGTACTATGCAAACATTTTTGTGCCAGGCTCAGAAGACCCAATAGCATGGCCAAAAATACACAATAATGTACAGTCGTCTACTGCATAAGGACATTTCAGTCAGTGACAGGCGACATATACAACTGTGATCCCCGTTAGATTGTAATGGAGCTGAAGATTTCCTATTGTCCAGTGTTGTCACAGCAGTCCTAATGTCGTAGTACAATGCATCATTCACATGATTGTGGTGATGCTCTTGTAAACAAACCTACTGCACTGCCAGTCATATAATAGTATAGCACATACAATTATATATAGTGCATACTATTTGATATTAATAATAAATGACTGTTATTAGTTTATCTGTCTACTATATTATACTTTTTAGTGTTATTTTAGAATATACTCCATCTACTTATTACAAATAAGTTAACTGTAAAACATCCTCAGGCAGATTCTTCAGGAGGTGTTCCAGAAGAGGTCATTGTTATCATAGGAGATGACAGCTCCATGCATGTTACTGCCCTTGAAAACTTTCCAGTGGGACAAGATGTGGAGACGGTAAACAGAGACATTGATGATTCTGATTCTGGTAGGCTTGGAATAATGTGTATGTTTGTGTGTTAGTTTTTAACAAAAAAGTTTAAAAAGTGAAAGGATATTTTTAAAAAATTAAATAGTAAAAAGCTTATAGAATAAGGACATAAAGAAAATACTTTTGTACAGTTGTGCAATGTATTTGTGTTTTAATTTAAATGTTATTACAAAAGAGTCAAAAAGTTTATAAAATGAAAGTTTATAAAGTGAAAAAGTTAAATTAACATAAGTTTAATATATTATTAAAGAAAGATTTTTAAAATAAATTAAGTGTAGCTTAAGTGTACGATGTTTATAAAGTCTGCAGTAGTGTACAGTAATGTCCTAGGCCTTCACATTGACTCACTACTCACTCAGTCATGCAGAGCAACTTCCAGTCCTGCAAGCTCCATTCATTGTAAGTGCTCTATACAGGTGATCCATTTTTGAATGTTTTAATTATATTTCTGCTGTACTTTTTCAAAGTTTAATGTGTTTAGATACACAAATACTTACTACTATGTTACAGTTGCCTACAGTATTTATTGCAGTCACATGCTGTACAGATTTGTAGCGTAGGAGCAATAGGCTATACTATATAGCCTAGGTGTATAGGCTATACCATCTAGGTTTAAGTACACTCTAAGGTGTTTGCACAATGACAGATTGCCTAATGACTCATTTCTCAGAATGTATCATTGTCTTTAAGCAATGCATGACTATTTCTCAATGTCCTTTCATCACTATATTGAGTGTTCTGTCTTTTCAATTATGACTGCGCCTGCTTCATGTCAAACATATACAGATATACCTCAAAGATATTGTGAATTCAGTTCCAAACTACCACAATAAAGTGAATATTGTAATAAAGTCAGTCACATTTTTTGGTTTCCCAATGTATAGAAAAGTTATGTTTACACTATCCTGTAGTCTATTCCATGTGCAATAGCATTATGTCTAAAAAATGTAAATACCTTAATTAAAAATGCTTTATTGCTAAGAAATGCTAACAATCATCTGAACCTTCAGCAAGTCATAATCTTTTTGCTGATGAAGGGTCTTACTTTGATATTGATGACTGCTGACTGATCAAGGTGGTGGTTGTTAAATGTTGGTGTGGCTGTGATAATTTCTTAAAATAAGACAACAATAGAGTTTGCTGCATTGATTGACTTCCTTTCAAGAAAGATTTCTTTGTAGCATGTAATGCTGTTTGATATAGCATTTTACCCACAGTAGAACATTTTCAAAATTGGAGTCAATACTTTGAAACCCTGCCACTGCTTTATCAAATAAATGTATGCAATATTCTAAATTGTTTCGTGTCATTTCAACAATGTTCACAATATCTCCTCCAGGAGAGTAGATTTCATCTCAAGAAACCACTTTGTCCATCCATTAGAAGCAACTCCTCATGCATTAAAGTTTGATAATATGATTATGGCAATTCAGTCACATCTTCAGGCTCCATTTTTAATTCTAGTTCTTTTGCTATTTCCACCACATATGCAGTTAATTTCTCCACTGATGTCTTGAAACCACAAAGTCATCCATGACAGTTGAAATCAACTTCTTCCAAACTTCTGTTACTGTTGATATTTTCACCTCCTTCTATGAATTATGCATGTTCTTAATGGCATCTAGAATGGTTAATTCTTTTCAGAAGTTTTCAATGTACTTTGTCCAGATCCTTTAGAGGAATCACTGTCTATGGCAGCTATGGCCTAACAAGATGTATTTCTTAAACAATAACAATTGAAAATCAAAATTACTCCTTGATCCCTGGGATACAGAATAGATATTGCGTTACCAGGCATTAAAATGATATAAATCTCTTGGTACATCTTTATCAGAGTTCTTGAATGAGCAGGTCCGTTGTCACTGGGAAATAATATTTTGAAAGACTTTTATTTTTCCTGAGCAGTAGGGCCCAACAGTGGGCTTCAAACATTTGGTAAACCATACTGTAAACATACGCTGCCATCCAGGCTTTGTCATTGCCTTTATAAAGCAAGGCAGAATAAATTTAGCATAGTTCTTAAAGACTGCAGGATTTTCTGGATGTTAATGAGCATTGGCTTCAACTTCAAGTCACCAGCTGCATTAACCCCTAGTCAGGGAATCAGCCTGTCCTTTGAAGCCTTGAAGCCAGCCATTGACTTCTCCTTTTGATTATGAAAGCCCTAAATGGCATCTTCTTTCAGTATTAGGCTATTTTGCTACCTTGAAAATTTGTTGTTTAGTCTAGCCACCTTCATCAATTACATCAGCTAGATCCACTGAGTAACTTGTTACAACTTCTCCATCAGCAGGTGCCGCATCACCTTACACTTTTATGTTATGGAGTTGACTTCTTTTCTTAAAAGTCATGAACCAAGCTCTGTTAGCTTCCAACTTTTCTTCTGCAGGTTCTTCATCTCTCTCAGCCTTAAAGTATTGAAGAGAGTTAGGACCTTGGATCAGGCTTTTGTTTAAGGAAGGGCACATCTGGTTTGATTTTTTATCTAGGCCACTCAAACTTTCTCCATATCAGTAATAAGACTGTTTCACTTTCTATCATTTCTTTCTGTTCACTGGAGGGGCACTTTTAATTTCCTTCAACAAATTTTGTTTACATTCACAACTTAGGTAACATGTGCAAGAGGCCTAGTCTTCAGCCTATCTCAGCTTTTTACATGCCTTCCTCACTAAGCTTAATCATTTCTAGCTTTTGACTTAAAGTGAGACATATGTGACTCTTCCTTTCACTTGAACCCTTAGAGGTCATTAAAGGGTTTTAAACTCACTTAATTTTAATATTATTTTGTCTCATGTACTAGGGAAGCCTGAGGAGGGTGGAGGGAATGGTCGGGTGGTGGAATGGTTAGAATGCACACAATATTTATCAACTAAGTTTATCATCTTATATAAGCACAGTTGGTGGTGTCCCGAAACAATTACAATAGTAACATCAGTGATTACTGATCACAGACCAATATAACACATATAATAATAACAATAAATATTGATATATTATTAAAAAGTACCAAAATATGACAGAGACCTGAAGTGAGCATACACTGTTGGAAAAATGTCACTGACAGAATTGCTTGAATCATCATTGCCATAAGCTTTCAATTTGTAAAAAACGCAATATCTGTGAAGTGCAATAAAGTGAAGCTCAATAAAGCGAGGTATGCCAGTATTTAATTTAAGTTCTGTGTCTTTATATCAACCCTGGAAAGATTAATTTTGGTCACTTTTTATAAACTTACATTTTTAAAGTGGTAGACTTTGAACTCCTCTAGATTATATTGTCTACACCATATATTC